>NC_000002.12:198701739-199004769 GCF_000001405.40 Homo sapiens
ACTCTACTTTTTTCTAGTCCTGAACACCAATTCCATTGCAAAGTTCTGAGTAGCAAATTCACAAAATCCTATTTCACTCATAAAAGAAAGATTTTTGAACATGTTTGACTAGGAATTTTATTCTAGTACAGAACTAAAATGAACCAGAAATTACATTTTAGTCCAGAGTGAAAATGTCAGAGAATAAATTATTTTTTGATTTAGACCATTTAACTTTGAAATAATTTTAGATGTTTAAAACCATTTTACTTAATTTAAAAAATATTTTACTTTTAAAAAGCACCTTATGTTTTTTGGGTAAATGGATATTTACTTTCCAGAAGTGAATTATAATGATTAGAACTGTTGCACTTTCACTTAGTGTTTGCCTGAAAAAATGAATTGTATCAGATATTTTTGAAAATCATGGACGTGGCAATTTCCAAAGAAATGCTTAAGACCACAGAATTGTGGCATCACCCCTGGTTTGACCTATGTATTGAGAACACCCAAAGGAATAGAAAAGGTTTCCCTTGGAAGATAACTTATTTTGAACAGATCTTGGGCACCATGCCCTTTGTACTGTTTGTTTCAGTATTCTTCATCCTGCCCCTCACATGCCTGGCACATAGTAGGTGCCTGGTAAGTGTGCACTGAGTTTAATCAAACTAATTTAGTGCATAGATCTTCAGAAGAAGCTGCCTTGCTTTTACCACTGTCTCTGCTTTCAGCCTTTAAACTCAAAACTTAAAGGGCAAAACATATAAATATACGCAAAGCTACTTGTGTTTTCATTTTACTCAAGGTATTTATATCATAAGGCATTTAGAGTCATCTGCAATGCTTTCTGAGACATTTAACTAGTACTGCCTTGGTTTCTCACTAATTAAAAATCAAGTTATTAGAATATAAATCTACTGGCAACATATTTAGGCAAGCACAACACAGAGACAGTGTAAAATATAGGGAGGGGTCAGTGTTAATTTTTATGACTTTGAGACACTGAAAATAAGTTCCTCATTAAGAAAACATCTTGCTTCAAAGTGCAGTGGCTAGTCTCAGGGTCTCAAGACCCATAAAGTAATTACCCTGATGACATTTTTTTCTCTACAAAAATATCTTCCATGTTTCTGAACATCCATGAAGCAAACCTAGAGTCAAGAAACAACAAAGGGTTACCAATATTACTGTTTATTGTTGCAGTGGGCTATAGGTAAGAAACAGATGAATAATTAACAAAGAGTCCCATCCTGTTAACCAGAAAGAGTAAAAGTACTGTGCTCACTGGGGTGAGGTACAGGTTATCCTGGCCCATTCAGAGAGCTGTAATGTCTTTTATCAGGCAGTGTTATTTCACCAGCAACTCCTAAAGATCATTCTGCCTGGTCTTGATGCTATCCAAGACACAAATATGGATTCAGCTAAAATCCAGGTATATATCCAGGTTGAAATTTCCTTTCAAGTTCTAGGTCCATGCCCTTAAGGGACCCACATAAGCTGAGAAATGAGTCAAACAAAGAATAGCTACAGAGCAGTTACCAAAGAGTTTATTCCCCTCCAAAGGTGATTTTGCAGTGAGGTTCATCTCAGCCTAGGTCCTGGGGGTTTTGGACTAGGAATAGACTGGAGCTTCTAGTCTATTTATACAAGTGGAAGAATTGCATAGCTAGACTTAGAAGATAGTGTGTTAAATGTGTCTCAAGCATTTGTTTCCTTAAGAAACAGTTATTTAGCAATGACCATGTGATTCCTGGACCCTGGACCCTGGGAGTACAAAATTGGGTAAGACCATACTTCACAAAGCTCACAGTCAAGGCATATCTAGCCACTGAAATGTGATTGTCTCATTCCCAAAGGCTGGCTCAGGAGACTTGGAGAACACAGAGGAGCACCTAACTCACCTGGGCCTGGCATCACAGAGGGAGTAGTAACACTTAGGCTGCATCTTGAAAGATAAGTAGCATGTGGCAGCACAGAGGAGGGTCAAGGACATATGAAGCATAAGAAAGAGTAAATGCTGAAGCATGAAGACATGAGAATGTGCAGCATGTCAAGAAAAGAAGTGGGTAGCTCATTATGGCTGGAGCTCCAGGTGCTTTGTGGAGGAGTGAGAGGGAAGGAGCCTGGTTAGGGAAGACGAGTTCAGATGATTCCATGCGTATAACACAAAACTTGGGTTTTATATTGGAAAGGACAGGAAATATTGAATAGAATTTTGAACTAATTGAAATATATTAAGTAAGCACAAAACATAACCAGACTTGAGTTTCAGAAAAATTACTCTATTTGTGGAATATTGTCCATTTTAATACATAATACAATTAGCCAACTGGATTATGGAGCCCCATCCCTAGGTGCCATTTTTTCCTTTTGTCTTTCTCCTAATGTCCGAAATACATTCTAAGTTTAATCATTTTCTTCATTTCACTTTTCATCACCATAGTGCAAGCCATCGTCTCTTAACCTGGATTGTTGCAATAGCATCCTAACTCGCCTTTTTGATTCAGGCTTTGCTTACTTGCAATCCAGTCTCCTCAGGATAGCAAGAGTAAGCCTATTAAAAATTAAATTACATGTTATATGATGCTACTTCCCTGTTTAAAAACTCTCCAATATCTTCCTATCACTCCTAGAATAAAATGCAGACTCCTTTCAAACGCCTCCAAAGCCACATAATCTGCTGCCAGTCCACCTATCCGTCTCAGCCTATATGACACTTCACATTTTCTATGTTCTATCCTTGTGGGCTTGCTCTCTGTTCCAGCCTCATGCCCTTATTCATACTTGGAAGACTGTCTTCCCAGCCCTTCAATAGCTGGTTCATTTTCCCCATTCAAAACTCAGTTAAACGCTACAAATTCAAAATGCCTTTTTAAAAAAAGAATCCTCCCTTAATATCCGCCAGTCAGTATCACATCACTTTATTTTTTTCATTTGTAGTACTTAAAATCACCTGAAATTATCTAGTTTATTTATTTGTCTTCTTGGTTATTATTGTCTCTGAGCATCAGAACAGAAGACCCACAACAACAAGGATCTGGTCTGTATCCTCAGTACCTAGAAACCACTAGGTACATAGTTAGTCCTTGATAAATATGTGTTGATTGAATCACAACTGGATGAAAAATGAAAACAAAAATCAATTTGGAGACTTTTGAAACAACCCAGGTGAAAGATGTAAGGGTTTGAATTTAAGCAGTAGGGCTAAAGGTGGAGAGGAAGAAGTGGATCAGAGAGATGGTTGGCGGATGGAATTGATAAAACGTCATAACCAGTTGGATGTGTTGAGAGGCAAAAAGTGAGGAAAGTGGGAGGTATCCCCTTAGCACTGGAATGAGCCAGACATAAAGTGCCCTTTGGGTCTACCAGTTTAAAAGTTTGGAGCATTTCATTTTCTAAATAAAAGGATACACAGCATGTTCTGTTGAATGAGTGAAAGGATCATTCTAACAAAAGAGTTACTGCATTATTCATGTTACCTAGGAGAACTTACAAAATATGTATTAAAATTGCACTGAATGCCAGCACTGTGTAGGATATTATAAGGGATATGGCAGAAGTAAAAGATGCTGTCCCTGCCCTTTTTAAAGTTGTGGATTAAAATGAAGAATCATAAAACAATTAGAGAACAATCCAAGATAATATATTATCAATTTCGAAAATGCGTGATACACCAGAGCTTCAGGAATCATAGATCAGGCACAACATTTTAATGTAATGCTGTTCTAGGGCAGAAAATTTCATTCTGATTTCACCTCAAATCCTTTCCTATGGCCAAAAATGTTCTTAGCATAAGTGAGCTATCTTTTTGGGCTCCAAGAGGTATTGGCATTTTGAGAATTAATTCAAGAACTTTCAAAGGGGGAGTAGCACAATTCATTCTTTCAAGCAGTCAGTGGATTTAATATTTTTAGACAAGTGCCAGATTGGAACAGTTTGTTCTAATGCTCCATGGATAGCATAGGCCCAGTTTCCAACAGGACAACTTAAAAAGAAAAACAAAACAAAACACACACAAAAAAGAAGAATGAATTGAAATTGCTTTAAGAGGCATGGCCTTGGCCAGGTGCAGTAGCCCACGCCTGTAATCCCAGCACTTTGGGAGGCTGAGGCAGGTGGATCACGAAGTCAGGAGTTTGAGACCAGCCTGGCCAATATGGTGAAACACTGTCTCTACTAAAAAAAATACAAAAATTAGCTGGGCGTGGTGGTGCAAGCCTGTAGTCCCAGCTACTCAGGAGGCTGAGGCAGGAGAACTGCTTGAACCTGGGAGGCGGAGGTTGCAGTGAGCCGAGATCATGCCACTGCACTCCAGCCTGGGTGACAGAGTAAGACTTTGATTAAGAAAAAGAAAGAAAAAAAGAAAGGTGGGAGGGGGGCATGGCCTTATAGGCTGTTTTTCTCTGTAATATCTTACTTAGTTTCTCCCTACTAGACTGGAATTTCTTCCAGTATAAGCATGGTGGTACCTTCATTTCTTAAAAGATGTTTCATAGCTCAGCACAGATATCTGCTCAACGAAAATGTGATAAATGAGAAAAATACAAGCCATCAACACTAAGGAGAGTGTATAGAAGATTTCTGTTTGTTATCTTCATGTTAAAATTGAAATTCCTGGGAGTATAATTAAATAGGCAATATGATTTTTGAAGATCTCTCTGATGTTGATGGGTCTGAATGGAAATCAGGTTATTTTTCATCATCACATAATCGGTGTCAATGCAAATGGCTTACTTGAAAAGCCGCTGGATTCTTTAAAAACAATGCAGTGGAGTTGGATGAAGGCCATTACAATTGTAGAGTCATGCTATAGAAATGTACTATTTCACTTGTGTTAGCTCATTTTTTTTTGTTTCCAAGTAACCCTGTAAGTTGACTTTCTACCAGCAATGGTCTCATTGAGTTTATTTGGCTCATAGAGAGTCATCATGAAGCTTGGGTTATATCCTGGCCTCTTCATTCCTTGCTTGTTTCATGCTAAATACTGTGGGCATTATTATATGTGCAATAGTGATTTGTGGGCATCAATAGCTTAGATGTAAACATCTTACAGTCACTTCAAAGCCTTATTGCTCTTCTAAAACTTGGAATCATAAAAGTATTATATAGCCTTCCACTGACAGTCAGTATTATGAACACTTACTGTACTGATAAAAATTTATATTTACTCTGTGCACTTGGCAGTCTCAGCCATGAACACTTCTGTTACAGAGCAGTGCCAAAACATATAAAGTTTAAGGCTTGACCAAGCACTAAAGCAGAAGCTTTCACCCTGGAGACGACTGCATGGGAGAATTAAGAAAACACTTTAATATTGTATCAAAAGCATCTCCCACCCTGCTAATTAAAATCAAGTTGAAATAATAAACAATTGCATTAATGTATTTCCAATAACCAATAGGTTTATTTTAGGTCCAAATTTGAGTTAATTTTGCAGGTTTTAATGACAAAATCCTGCAAAGAATGGACTCATTAAAAACCTAATATATAATTGATACTCTAAAGAATCACACAAGTAATTCAAAAGTAGGGAATAAAGAGCTTCACCTATGTATGGTTTATACCATGCTAAATCCTTTACACATGGTATCTCTTTTAGTCCTTAAAACAGCCCAGTGAGGTTGGTATTATTATTTGCATGTTAAAGATGAGAAAACCAAGGTTTAGGAAAGTTAAGTAAGTTCTTAAGAGCTGAATCAATGCTTCTCCAACTCTGATTTCTTAACTCCCACATAAGTGAGAAAACTCATACAGTTACAGTTTGCCATCAGATACTGAAAAACCTACTAATAGTCACATTGAAAGATCTTGACTTTCTGGACAAAGACAAAGGAATATGGCCCTTAAAATAATGAAAAATCCAGAACTTGGAGGAATAAAGATAGCAGTAGCAAGTGACCCAAGGCAACACCATCAGTGTTTACCAGAAATAGAAGCATCAGTGAGCAATCAATGAGTTTGAAGGAATCAACAGTGAGATACAGAACAGGAAACCTAGATACTTAGCTGGAAAAAAATCATTCAAGTATATGTGAATGTTGAAACCCATGCTGTCTATCTGTGGTTCTCAAACTCTCTGATCTAACACTCTACTCTTACAACAAATATTTTGTAAATCTCCTTTACCACTATGAAATAAAATTCAGAGATAATATAACAGAACTTTAAAAAATTGCTGTAAAATAAGGAAGAAATAAAAAACAGTATATAACTAAACAATGTGTTTCAATATGTAAATACCTAGGGACCTCTACTCTAGAAGACAAATCCACTCCCCTGCATTTCCAAACTGTCCCTAGGGAAGGTCCCTCGAAATCCACTAGGTGAGATAGAGCCAGGTATGTAAGCATGGGCTTTTACCTTTACTCAAAGGTAATGGAAGGAGCAGTATTTAGGGCTTGCTGCCCTGTCCCTTTACTTTCAAGGAAGTTACTGGTTTAGAGGTAGAGTTGAAGTGGCAATCAATGGGAACCATGGTTCCCAAGATGGATATCTCTAATGGGAAAATACGCACAGTTGAGAAGTTAGAGGGAGAGGGGTGAATTGGCCCAAAGTTACCCCATACCTACTCTTCAGGAGAACTTGGGGGACTTTTTCCCGAAGGCTATAGATATCCATGGGGCCTCTAAGTCCCTCTTCAGGATCACTCCCTGATGGAAGCAGAGCATCCAGATTCAGTGGGAAGTTCATGGTGCAAAGGAACACCTTTCCCTCTAATCTCGTCTCTAAATCAATTGTGCATCCTTCAGTATAAAAAGCAGTTGTGATTAATGCACCATAAGCTGTGCAGGGCAAAGAGGGTGAAGGATCTGCATGACCCTAGCACAGGCTTTCGGTAATACCCAGAGCACGAGATTTTGTAACTCTTAAATCACCTCCACTTTGACTGACCATATATATCTAATTGAAGCCTGTCAAATTCCTTCTTAAACCTGGCACCATGTCAATGACCTTCTGGCAATGGTCTCAGTGGGGTGACGTGTACAATGAAAGGAAGTATTTCCTTTTATTGGTTCTAAATTTACTAGCCTTTAGCTTCATTGAATTAAATTACGGCACAGGGTTAACATTATAGTTATAACTGACATTTATAAACTGCATTCCATTCATTAATCCTGAAATGCTATGCAAACTGATTTAACAAAATTAAATGTACAGATGTGCACTATTTTAGGCTTTCTGATGGCTCTCTGGATACTTACAGGACTCCTTCAGTTTGAGAAATGCAGTATTGAGTATTACCTGCATTTTTAATCCCTGCCTTCCAGAACTTTTTATTTTTTTTTTTTGTCTACAGTTGGTATAGTTTCCTAAAAGCTTCAGATTCTTTCCCTGACTTGGGCAGAGGAAACCATTTGCCATTGCTGTGGCTGGTCAGCAATCCTGTGGGTTCCAGCAATATTCTACCTTATCTACACATGTTTTGTCTTTCTTCATTACCTCCCTCCTTCCATTTTCCTCTTTCTCTTCCTCCTCCCTTCTTTTTTCTCTCCCCTCTTCCTCGCTCCCACTCTCCCTTACTTCCCTCATTTCTTACTCTCTTTTCTGTCTTTTTATTTCTATATTCTTTACTGATCTCTCTTTTTTCTTTCACATTCAGGGGATACATGTGTAGGTTTGTTACATGGTAATACTACATGATGCTGAGGTTTGGTCTTTGAATCTATCACCCAGATAGTAAACATAGTACTCAATAGGCAATTGTTCAACCCTTTCCCCTCTCCGTCTCTCTTCCCTTTTGGAGTCCCCAGTGTCTATTGTTCCCATTATTATGTTCATGTGTACCCAATGTTTAGCTCCCACTTATAAGTGAGAACAGAACATGTGGTATTTAGTTTTCTGTTTCTACATGAATTCACTTAGGATAATGGCCTCCAGTTGCATCCATGTTGCTGCAAAGGACATGATTTCATTCTTTTTTATGGCTGTGTGGTATTCCATAATGTATATGTACCACATTTTCTTTATCCAATCCATTATTAATGGGCACCTAGGTTGATTCCATGTCTTTGCCATTGTGAATAGTGTTGTGATAAACATGCAAGTGCAGATGTCTTTTTGGCAGAATGATTTATTTTCCTTTGGTATATAGCTAGGAATGGGATTGCTAGGTTGAATGTTTACTTATCTCTTGACTCATTAGGGAATTGATCCTTGGTGTTAACATTTTCATTTCCTTTTGCCTTGCTTCTAGGGGATGAGTAAAGGAAGTCAAGTATAGGTATACACATATATGTCTTTGTTCTGTCTAACCTTCTGTTCCACAAAGAGCAAATCTCTGAAGTGAAATCTGAAGCCTGGGTCCTGGGTGACTTGCTCAATTTGTCTCACCTTAGGATGAGTCTGACAGGCAATATAATATAGAGGAAAACCCAAAGGGATGACTAGGGCTTGTATGGAGGCTCTGATATCTACTCCCTGTATGATCTTTGGTGAATCACTTAACCACCCTGATATATAGTTTTATCAGCTGTAAAATGAAATATTTGGGTAACATGGCCCCTAAAATTTCTTCAGTGAATTTTCAAAGTTCAGTGCTGCATCACCTCTTTTTAGATTGTGTGGTTTCTGTGAGGCATACTTTTCCCAAATCAGCCCTGGTTTGCGTTTGTTTCAAATAGAATCATAGACTTAACATATGCGTGTCCCAGAACCAGGAAGAACAAAACACCTTTTCTCACTTATGCATAGATATGTGCATAAGCAGGCAAACTGCAAAGTTCTGCTTGGGCTATACAACTATTGAGAATATGGACCAGGTTGGAGGATCTATAAGGGATTTCAACCTCTCTGTAATATTTTTTAAAATTATAATACACTTTGAGGAGAAGAATGTTTGTCTTAGAGTTGACAGAAGGCAATCAATAAAGTAGGAAGTTATTTCATGATTGTCTTGGCAGACATTTGATCAACAGTAGCGTTTGGATACTTACTTGACACACAAAAGGTACTAGGTGCTTTATTTATCAGCCAAAGAACACCACTGGGCCCTGACATAACCATGCTGGACTAAATGATAAATTACACCATGTACCAGGCCCCAGGTGCAATTGCCACTAGGTAAACACTAGTGAACAAAGGACATTGCCCTGTCAACCAGTAGAGAGGCACATGACATCCCAACAAAAGTCCCCATTCTCATCTCTGTTGTCATGAAGTTATATAAGGCATACCTAGACTCAGACATTAGGAGGGAAACACAAGTAAGAAGATACTTGAAAGATTGTACATACTTATATGAGAGACTGATCTCTAAATGGACTATTTAAATCATTGGATCTGACCAGACTTTAAACCATATTTTATATTTTTTTCTTTCTGCTAATTAATGTGTGGGAATTTGGAATGGGGGTGGTGGTAATTGGCGTAAGACAACAGAATTAAATTTAGGCAGAATTAAAAGTATTCTCATTTTTCTTCAAATCCAAGTTATAGAGTGAGTTAAAATTTGTGACTCCATTAAAAAATAAATAGGAAAAGTAAAGAAAATCCTAGTACACTGATCTCATAAAACATTTTCAGATGTGAGAAAAAAAAGAATGAAGACAGAACTTTGGTGGGTGGAAATGTGCAAATACACCATTAATTTTAGTGTAGGCTGAGTCCTAAAATCTAGAATAACAGCAATTATTATTTAAATTAATTCATTCATTTAGTTAAAATAGTTTTTAATGGCTACCATGTGCCAGGCACTATGTTAGGTTCTGAGGATGCAATAATGAGCAAAAAAGCATAGTCCCTGCCTTCATGGAAATTAGTTTTGTGGGAGAGACAGATAGTAGTCAATGGTCACACAAATGAATGTAAAATTACAGCAGTGATAATGTGCTTCAAAAGACAGCTAATAGTGACCTATGAGAATGCAACATGGAGGAAGGGATCAGGGAAAGTTTACACCCTGCAGGGCTAAAAGCTGAAGGGCTAAAGTCTCAGGACAAGACTAGTAAGCAGGGGATAGGGGAAATCCAAGGGTGAGGTCAGAGCAGAATGAGAAGTGTGCATAAAAGGTTTGTAGCTGGGGAGCAGCCACATAACAGGGGTGAGAGGGAGGCCAGGCCAAGGCAGCCCAAGCTAGGTGGGCCCTAAGAAGGGAATTGGTCTTTCTTCTAAGAGGAATGCAATGCCACTGAAATGCATTAAAGGTATTTATGCATCTTGAAAAGACAAACATATCATTTCTGCTTTTAAAACTTACTCCCATTCACACACGCTTTGTTTTAGGTGGAAGTAAGGCAATGTTTTGCAGATAAATTGTGTTTAACTAACAGTTTTATGTTTATTATTATTAATTACTCAGAAAGTGCCATCCAGCATCCCAAAAAAAGGAAAAGGTTTGCAAATTATCTGAGAATTTACTTGTATATTGAATGATCAGTACATCATATCATGTGATTATTTCTCTTAAAGTTACCTATTTTCTTTCAACTGACAGATTCAACTAATTAGTAATGGGCCTTATTAAGAGACTGGATCCCCAATCTAGAGGATTTTGTAGGTTTCCTGAAGATGTTATTTTTATTTAACTGGGTATATATTAAGTGCTGCTTTGTGTGTGTGCATGCGTGTTCATGTGTGTTGAGATGTTAGATTAGGAAGGAGACAAGGATCATTGAGCAATGATACAATCTCATCCTTAGATCTCAACCACATAGAAAATTCTCAAATACATTTCTAAGAGTCCCGTTGGCACTAAGCAATATGCATAAGTTATTACTAAATATAATACTACTATACCACTTTTAATTATAACAGTTTTGCAAACAGTTAACTAACCCTTAAGAGCAACTGCAGTTTTGCCAAAATATATGTGTGTGTGTCTTTATTGCTATACCTGATTATACAGAGAATGCATATTTATAAATATGCACACATCACGTAAGTAAAGAAGCAAAACAAAACGAATGTCTCAGGCCAGGCCCAGTGGGTGGCAGATACCCGTAATCCCAGTACTTTAGGGGCCTGAGGCAGGTGGGTAACTTGAGCCCTGGAATTTGAGACCAGCCTGGGCAACATGACAAAATCCCATCTCTACAAAAAATTTACAAAGAATTATCCAGGCAGGGTGGTGCATGCTTTTAGTTCCAGCTACTAGAGAGGCTGAGGTGGGACCCCCTGACCTGGGAAGTCGAGGCTACAGTGAGCTGTGATTGTGCCACTGCATTCCAGCCTGAGTGACAAAGTGAGACCCTGTCTAAAAAAAAAACAAAAAAAAACAAAAAAAAAAACAAAATTAAAAAGAAGAATGTCTTGAAGGGGGAGTAGAGCTAGCACACAGGCCACAGCTACTTGTTGTTCATAATAGTTGATAATAAACAGTGGAGCCTCTACATTTTTAAGGCACATTTTTGATATAGATGCATTAAAATAGTCACATATAAACAGTGAAATCTAAGTTCCTTTGTCAAAAGGTTTTCCTTTGAGATAATCTAATAAATATATCCAATAATAAATTATTTTCCCACTTTTTAAAAAGTTTTTTCCTTTCACTTTTGTTACATTTTCTTGTTGCTGGTTTGATGCTTGTCGTGTATTTTACACTGTCCTTTCTTAAAACAGGAGACTCATAAACCTAAAGCAATTCCATTCCTGGCCCAAAATGCAAATGCTGGTCAGTGTATTATAGAGGGGGAAGTTTTTTGACTTCTCCACTACCCAACTCAGGGAGTTGTGAGGGTTTGCTATCCTGAAATTTGTTTCTGGAAGACAAGTTCTACTTGTGGTAGCAGAGTAGACTCTATTCTCTGTGACATATGTGGACCATCTCTTTACCACCTATTTTATGTGGGCAACATAACCATCACACACTACTAATTTTCTCCAACCATGAAAAAAATTACAAGCCATTATATATAGTAAACCAACTTTATCTGTTGTTGTTGATGCCTGTGTCCATATCAGTTATATTTATTTCCTGGGCAACTCATGTGCTTTGCTTGAAAAGAAAAAAAGAATCCAAAACAATTCAACAAATAACAAACAGAAGGCAAAAAAAAAAAAAAAGTGTTGTTGCTTCATTTACTTTTGTTTTGATTCCAAGTCTAGAAGGCTACATATTTGACTGTGTTGGACAATTAATAATTTCATTAAAGATACTTATTTGTAAATACCAACATAAAGTTGGTACTCATTCATGGAAGGCAGTAATCTTAAACTGTCTTAAAAATAAGTGTACTTTGGCCGGGCACGGTGGCTCACGCCTGTAATCCCAGCACTTTGGGGGGCCGAGGCGGGTAGAGCACAAGATCAGGAGTTTGAGACCAGCCTGACCAACATGGTCAAACCCTGTCTCTACTAAAAATACAAAAATTAGCCGGACGTGGTGGTGCGCACCTGTAATCCCAGCTACTTGGGAGGCTGAGGCAGGAGAATTGCTTGAATCCAGGAGGCAGAGGTTGCAGTGAGCCGAGACTGGACCACTGCACTCCAGCCTAAGCAACAGAGCAAGACTCTGTCTCGAAAAAAATAAATAATAAATAAATAAATAAATAAATAAATAAATAAGCGTAATTCTCGGCCAGGTGCTGTGGCTCACGCCTGTAATCCCAGCACTCTGGGAGGCCGAGGCGGGCAGATCATGAGGTCAAGAGACCGAGACCATCCTGGCCAAAATGGTGAAATCTCGTCTCTACTAAAAGTACAAAAATTAGCTGGGCCTGGTGGTGGGTGCCTGTAGTCCTAGCTACTCAGGAGGCTGAGGCAGGAGAAGCGCTTGAACCCAGGAGGTGGAGGTTGCAGTCAGCCGAGATCACACCACTGCACTCCAGCCTGGCAACACAGTGAGACTCCATCTCAAAAAAAAAAAAAAAGTTTTAAAAAAATAAGTATAATTCTCTAATAATTATTTAAAAGACTTATGGTACTTTCTTTTCTGTACTATG
Source organism: Homo sapiens (assembly GCF_000001405.40). Taxonomy (NCBI): domain Eukaryota; kingdom Metazoa; phylum Chordata; class Mammalia; order Primates; family Hominidae; genus Homo; species Homo sapiens. The sequence goes on from NC_000002.12 coordinate 198,714,597, forward strand.
CTCACTATGGGGTATGGAACCCATACCCCAAACCTCAGAATCATGCCATATACCAATGTAACAAACCTGCACACGTACCCCCTGTACCTAAAATAAAAGTTGAAATTATTTTTTAAAAAAGAGTCCGGGTGTGGTGGCGCACCCTGTAATCCCAGCACTTTGGGAGGCCAAGGCGGGTGGATCACGAGGTCAGGAGTTCAAGACCAGCCTGGCCAACATGGTAAAACCCCATCTCTACTAAAAATACAAAAGTTAGCTGGGCATGGTGGCACATGCCTATAATCCCAGCTACCCGGGAGGCTGAGGCAGGAGAATTTCTTGAACTGGGACCCAGGAGGCAGAGGTTGTAGTGAGCAGAGATCGCACCACTGCACTCCAGCCTGAGCTAGAGACCCAGACTCTGTCTCAAAAAAAATAAAAAAATAAAAAAGACACAATGCTTTAAAAAAAATAATCAGTTATATCATAAAGGACCTTTTGAAGATCCACATAGTCTTCCTTTTTAGTCCATGCCTCGTAGGTAGCAGTTTCCTGACACATAGTAGTGTCTATAGCAACATGAATAACAAGGTAATAGTACATCCAGGACCAGTCCTAGACAAATAGTTATACCATTTAATCTCCTTTTAAGGAAATTCTAATATTCCTGACACACTCAGATGCCAGCCCCTAAAATAGACTCTACTCTGTGACATAACTTACTCTTGCATTTTGTCAGGTCCTGGTAGAGAGAAATTGATGTGGCGTGTCTTTAAGTGGCTATGTCTTTTCTATTAATACCAGTCACCATTCTGCTGGTAGCATATTGCTTCTTAACCATAAAGAGAGTGCAGCACATGACCCAGGCTGGGCCACACTGTAACTGCTTCAGTTATCTATTCCTGCATAACAAGCCACTCTATAACTTAGTGACTTAAAACAACTGTAATTTCTGTGATTCAGTGCAGGGACAGCTTATCTGTGCTCCAGGTGGTGTAGGTGGAGTTGACTGAGTTACTCATGCGGCAGCATTCAGCTGGGAGCTTAATGGGGGATGAAATGTCCAAAATGGCTTCAGTTACATACCTGACGCCTCAGCTGGGATGTGGAAAGGCTGGTGTGCTGTGGTTTTTCTCTAAGTACTAGAGCACTCATCATTCACTGCTTACTCCAGCTTTTTTACATGGCAGTTGACTTCCAAGAAGACACCAGTCTCTTACAACTTAGGCATGCAACCATCACACATCACAGCATCATTTCTGCCACATTCTATTGGTCATAGCGAGACACAGGGTCAGTGCAGATTCTGGGTAGAGGATAGATTCTTCCCTCCTGATGACGGGTGTACCATGCAATGTACAGAAAGAGAGACAACTGTTGACAGCCATGTTTGTAAACAGTCTACCACAGTCCTTACTTTAAATGGGTGATCATCCTGGTCACTCTCCCCCACAGTAGACCTGAGAAGAACTAGGCAAAAGTACCTCTCTGGATTGCCAAATGGAAAGTAGGAAAGATTTTTAAAGGAGCAACAAGCAAATAACAACAACAGCAACAAACAACTTTTTCCTGTTTTTATTAATCTGGAAAGATGTAAGTCCTGTGCTGATAGTGGCCATTTTCTCTGCTGCATAAGAAGACCCCTCTGCCATTAGGAAAGGATGTAGTCAACCCAAGAAACAGGAATGAAGAAAAAAGAAAGAGAGAAACAGAGAAAACAGATAATTCCTGGTTCTGGTGTTGAGATCAGCTTAATTTGCTTAAACTAAATTGAAATAGGTTTTCTTTATTTTCAATCCAGAGGTTTTCAAAAGATAGAAAAATCTTTGTGAGCTAAAGTCACCATCTAAAATATTTAGTCACAAGAATTTTGTGTTTTTGGAGAGTTGCACAGGAATTAGGGAAAGTTTGAAAAGAAAAACATCAGTTTAAGTTAAGCACTAAAGAAAACTCTCTGTGGCTTTTTAATCCCAGTATTGATTTTTGTAAGGCAAAAATCCACCACTTTAATTATATGTGATTCTTTGCTCTCTAAAAATAATGTGAAAAGAGAACATTTTAAATGCTATCACTGGCTAGCTTAGCATTAAGAACATTTAATCACACATTGTTTTCAGATGAGGTTACTCTATGAATATGCTCTCAACAGGAGTAAGAAAGAAAATTAATATACCAACACTATATATTTGTGTGGCATTCTAAAACCAAAAGTGTTAATAACATTTTAGAGGAGTATTTTACTTAATATTCTGGGTACTTTTTTATACTGAAGTAAATAATAGATTGGGTTTAATCTGACTTAATAGAATTTGAAGCTGTGTTAACTAATACTGTGTAAAAGTTATGATAACAACATGTATAATTTATTCATTATTTATTGTGGGCTAGGCACAAGGGAAATTGCTTTATATGTGTAATAGACCATCAGTGAAATTTTTCCTTTTGTACCAGAACTGCGGTATAGAATAAATAGGGTTAGGTATATCCCTATCCTTATACACTCTTTGAGGGCAGAGACTTTGCTTGCTATTGAATCATTCCTAACTGAAGCTATGCATAAGGCAAAAAAGAATACCTCATCATAGTGACTCAACTAAATATGGGATTATTTTTAAGCAAATCAAGAAGTCCAGAGGCAATAAGTCAAGACTGGTGAAGTTACTCCAAGATGTTATGAAGGACCTGGTCATCTTTATTACAGGTTGAGTATCACTAATTTAAAACTCTAAAATCTGAAATGCTCCAGAATCTGAAACTTTCTGAGCACTGACATGATACTCAAAGGATATGTTCATTGAAACATTTTGGATTTCAGATTTTTGAATAAGAGATGCTCAACCTCCAAGGCCTATTTGAAAGCCAAATGTTGTGAGAGTAGGAAAAACCTGTGGACCCAGCTCCCTTAACATGGGAAAGATGAAAGGAGTATTTGACATGTATCCTGCATGCTTTAAAATATAGTTTATATTACATTCAATTTTGAAGGATAGGAAGGCCCATAGATAAGGAAATGATTGCCTTTGCAAAGATAGTGTAGTACTCACAGCTTCCAAGAGGAGCAGGCTTGCCACGCCATAAGGGACCACACAGGAGGCATGGGACAGCCACGAGAGAGGGGTGGGAGTAGTATGGGCAAGAGCCTGTATTGTGGTTTCTGTGAGAAGGAGCAGGTGAGGGAGGCACTCAGCCTTAAGATGGCTAGTTTGAATAATTTCAGTGGGCTCTGATGCATAAGGATGTCCCTAGTTGTTTGGTACTTGGCCTTAGGGTAATTAGGGCGCCGGTGTATAGTGGCTGAGAGTGTGGGAGCCCTGTAAAGGAGGTGACTGGGAGTGTGGACTCTGGACTGGATTGTATTTGAAAAGCCTACCTCTAGGAGAGGGATATGGCAGAGGGGGGCAGTTTGCTAAATGAAGGAAGAAGCAGGAGACCAAGGCCAGGTGACCCAGGCATATTATCATGTTGTTCAGAACAAGACGTGTCTAGCATATACACATAGGGCCAATGTTAAAGCATCAAGTTTACAGAAGCTAGTGACATGATTAATACCCCTTGAAGACTGAGGTTTCCACTCCTATGTTAGAGATTTCTGATGGCTAGAAGCTCATAGGAATTGTCAGAGCCAAAGGTGCTCGAAGAGACCAAGTTGTAGAGAACATCAGAGAAGATAGGTCAATCCCCCTCCATCTCAGTTCTCCATAGCTTTCAAGGGGTCCAAGGAGCTCAAGGGTTGCAGTGGCTTCACATGAAGCAACAGATAAAAATAAAGGGCAGAAGCCGTGTTCTTGTATCAGGCAAAGCCTCCTCCCCACACCGGCAAATAGTAGTCACTTGAGCAGAATCACCTCTCTCTCCTTAATTGTTGGGGGAGGGAGACATCCTAGAAGTGACTGAATCCTAGAGGCTGAAGCCTGTGGGAATGGAAACTAGGAGAAAGATAGAGAGGAATCAACACATAAAATATAGAAATGCACATTGTGCTCTACTCCTGCTCACATGCTCCAAGTTTGAGCTTTGAAAAAATATGAAATTATGAGATTGAAGGTTTTTTTTAAAATTATACTTAAGTTCTGGGATACATGTGCAGAATGTGCAGGTTTGTTACATAGGTATACGTGTGCCATGGTGGTTTGCTGCCAGGAGACTGAAGTCTTAAAATCACCAGGAACGAGTCTTATCTGCTTATATGGATACTATTCTGATATATCAATAATATGTTATTCTGTAAGCAAAGGTGACTTTACAGTTAGGGCGTCTGACTATGATGTTATCAAAGGAACTGCCACAATTTAGGGAAATTAGGTTAAATCGATTCATGTTTATATACCAGTAGGTTGACACAATGAGTTATATACACGCAATCTTGGCTAGTCTTTATGGTAAATATTATTAAATCTATTTGACAGATGAGGAAACAGAGGCTCAGAGAGGTAAACTAAATAAACAGTTTGAAGTGGCAGAGCTGTAATGTGAACTCAGATTTGTAAGATGCCAAATGCCTGAATTCTTAAGTCCTGAACTACACAAATTTGAGTCTTGCTGGTTGGTTTTGTTCCTAATATTGTATTCTGAATTTATTTATCCTCTTTTACCTAAAGATTTTATTTTAATCTGCATATAAATACATAAAGACTCACAAGATCATCTAATTTTTTTGACTGAGCAGTTGAAAAGGTAGGTGCCATACAGGCCAGAGGTGGCTGTGGAGCCCAGATCCGCATGTAGAGTTTCAGGCTCCTTGGACTAGTCTTTCTTTTAGTTTGTCACATCACATCTTTAATGTTAGTCATCATTATCATTTGTTAATTTCAATCTTCTTTACAAATAAGAAACAGGTTTGTGACTATCATCCTAGTTGCTAAAATTTAAGCCAGGAGCCAAGAAGGCAGGGTTCTAATCTCAGTTCTGCCCCTAAACAGTTTGTGTAGCCTGGGACAATTTCTTTAACCACTTTTGGTTCCAGTTTTTCATGCATAAAATGAAAAGATTTGACTAAATGATTCCTATAGTTCCCTTCAGTTTTATCTTTTCAAATTGATATGACAAAGTCCAATCTTCTTTCTACAAGACTACTAAGTAATTTTTTCTTTTTTTTTTTTTCCAATTTATTTCCATAGGTAGCTGGGGAACAGATGGTGTTTGGTTACATGAGTAAATTCTTTAGTGGTGATTTGTGAGATTTTGGTGCACCCATCACCTGAGCAATATATACTGCACCCTGTTTGTAGTCTTTTATCCCTCACCCCCTTTCCACCCTTTCCCCCTGAGTCTCCAAAGTCCATTGTGTCATTCTTGCACCTTTGGATCCTCATAGCTTAGCTCCCACTTATGAGCGAGAACATATGATGTTTGGTTTTCCATTCCTGAGTTACTTCACTTAGAATAATAGTCTCCAATCTCATTCAGGTGGCTGTGAATGCCATTAATTCATTTCTTTTTATGGCTGAGAGACTACACAGTAATTTTTTCTTAAAGTGTACCCTTTTATTCCACATAAAAACAGTCTTGCAGGAAAAAGCTCAGATTGCCAAATCCCTGACTCCTTGAACCATTTGAGAGGTGGAGAAACTGAAGCCCAGGTAGGATAAATGATTGTTACTTAGCCTTAGATGTATGTTAAAAATATATATATATACTTCACATACAGAACTCTAGCTTGGCTTTTTAACGTGCCTTTCCTTGTATCCTGCCATCAATAACGCTAGTGTGTGAAAAAAGCACAGTATCAGGTAGAAAGTATGTAAACTGCTAAAATTTAATTTTGTTTCAAAAAGCATTTCATTGAAATGATTAAATCACTTTTCTAAAAAATGACAGGATGCATCATCTGTCGTGGAAGGAAGCGTGTTTTGGTTACCACTTCAGAACTTCTGTTCAGATTGTCCAAGGCATGTGTTATGAGAGGAAGAAGCACTTCCTAGGTCACTGAGCATTTGCTGCTGAACATATGCTATCTCACAATGGCATACATCCACAGCTTTTTTATTACATAGTGATCTGAATATTTTATGGATATTCTGAATGGTGAGATAATTGATGATAGAACACTGGAGGAAAGAGTTGATAGCTTTTTTTTTTTGTTGGTAGCATTTATCAGATTGTCAATTAAATGCTTGTCATGTGGTAAAGGAAAAATATTTATTGCTGAAGCAGACATCTAGACAGACCTTCAACCAAAAGTGTGGTACATGTGAGAAGGCACAAAGATATGCACCTTTGGAATGACGGATTGCTCTTTTTTGTCAGCTGAGAAGGACGAAAGGTTTCAAATTAACAACAAAGATTGGGGTGGCTTATCTTGTTTAAAGTTTATTGATAAAAGATGAAAGTATTTGCATTTCTTTCATAGATATGTAAGACTAATTTGCTAACAGAAATATTATCTGCCTCAAACAATTTTGGGGAAGAGGCCAGGTATAAAAACTTTAAGGCTTTGAAATATTTATGTGCAGTGTACTGAAGTGTACTGAAGAAAACTATGTACTAATCCAGAAAAATCAGTTTTAAGGTGCTTCTCATCTACATGAATTATTTATTTTTATTTGCTGGAAATTGGTTAATTCCCTAGTACATGCTCCCATAGTGCTCTGTACTCAACCTTTGGTGAGATTCTCAGCTCTCTTGTAATTACGCACATTTCGCACATCCTCCTCAATAGACTACAAACTCCATGGGAAGAGAGACCATGTCTGTCACATTTATGTCCATAACTGCCAATGCCAAGTATCGGGCTAGACACAGAGTAGGGGTCTATCGATATTTGATGATTAGTTGGTAATTGCCTAAAAGGGAGTTTTTCTAACATATAAGAAATTGAATGATAAAGCAGTTAGTTGATATTTACCACTCACTTGTAAAATTCTGCCCCAGAGTTCTCTAACAGTAGAAAGTACCTATATTATTTTTAGTGCAACAATGGTAACACTAAATCAAAGACTTATTAAGTGTATGAAAAAAACATCTTAATTTCTTCAGCGCATAGAAGAGACTGCTCTGAGAACTCTAAATTATTTTGTAATAATGAGCACAGCTAGTGTGGTAAGTAAAATTTCAGTCTGAAAACTTTTTCTGTGACACTGCACAATGAACTTTTTCTTATTTTTAAAAATCATCTGGTCAGTTGTTTTGATAATATTCACATATCATAATTGTGTTCATATTTTTGTACTATGACTAGTTTTATTATAATGAGTACAAATCTTCAGTTCTCTAAATTTCAGGATCTATCACTCTAATATCTGTGCATACTTGTATTTTAATAGTTACTTTTTGTTGATACTGTTGTGAATTTTGTGTTCTTTCTAGAGTGTCCCATAGCAACTAAAATTTTTACTACTTTCTCAAGGCCAGGCACACGAAATAGGCTTAAAATTACAGTTTACTAAATAACCTTTGAAAGTAATCTCTAGATAGAAGTAATCCACTAATGATATCCTGATATGCAACAGCTTTGCCATTCATTTTGGCAGCCTTTAGATCACGTTCTGCAGGGCAAGGCTCTCGCAAATGCCTAATATGGTTGGAAATCTGGGGCTGTGGTGGGTTTAATAAGTCCCAGTCTCTCTACAGAAACCAAATTCAAATACATTGTCACGATTTTTGGAGCAGCAACTGAGAGTCACTTAATATTAGAAAGAGCTGGTTCCAGGGGACCAACTCTATCCCCTGAAGTCAACTAACAATTTTTAGTTTGCTTATTCTTTCCCAGCTCGCTCACCCTAAATTATAGAGCTTTCATTTCTTTGGCTACCGCTAAAAAATGACATCAAACCAGGAGAAGGTCATCAAGTTCATACCTTCAATGTGTTCTTACTAACTGTATTTGAAAAAAACTTCAGCATCCTCAATTCTATAGACTTTTATTATCTGAGACACTCTTAAATACCTGATATCATTTCCAGATTGTTTAACATATCAGAAACTGATTGTCTTGGCCTCATACCACAAGACCAATTATTCTACCAGATTAAGAGATGAGGAAGAGGAATCTGTTTTATTTTTATTTTAATACCATTAAAAAAGTGATGCAAAATTTAAAAGCAAGCTTGCCTTTAAAATCATAATACCATTATAACTTTTCTACAACTAATAAATATTTGTTGAATACTCCATGTGCCAGCACCATGCTCATTTATGGTTTTCAGTAACTTCATGAGCTGATACTAATCTCCACTTCACAGATGCGGGGACTGAGGCTTAGAAGGAGTAAGTGACACACTTAAACTTATACAACTGGGAAGCAACGGACCAGCATTCAAACAGGGACTAACCACTGATACCAGGAACTGACTACTATGCTACAAAGCTAAGGTGCTATAGGTATCAGGAGCAGGAAGTTTTTGAGCCATGTTGATGCAACTCATCCTTGTTTCAAAAAGTAGGTTATTGAGATCTCGAGTAGATATTACAAAATCACAAAGGCAAAAGATGGAATATTGAAGACATGCACTTTGGGAGGCTGAGGTGGGTGGATCACCTGAGGTCAGGAGTTTGAGACCAGCCTGGTCAAAATGAAACCCTGTCTCCACTAAAAATACAAAAAATTAGCCGGGCATGGTGGCACGTGCCTGTAATCCCAGCTACTCAGGAGACTGAGGCAGAAGAATCACTTGAACCCGGGAGGCAGAGGTTGCAGTGAGCTGAGATTGTGCCACTGCACTCCAGCCTGGGCAACAAGAGCAAAACTCCATCTCAAAGAAAAAATTATATATATATATATATATATATATATTCATAAACAATATTTTATTGCTGCCGTAAAAATCACTATTTAGATCCCAACATTCACCTATTTTAACATGCAGACATGAAAACTAAGAAACATGAGCATTTGTATAAAGGGCAATTTTGAGTATTGAGACTTCAATATTATAGTAACAGAAAAATCAATAAATGATGTTTGGTATGTGTTGGGAGCAGGGAGTGGTAGACAGATGTGTTCTTATTTAAACCAATGGATGTGAACCAGAAAGACTTTAAATATTAAAATAAAGGAAGATGCCTGGACTAATTGCTGAGTACCTTCCACAAACTAAGTTTGGAAAACATAGGAAATACACAGGTGATTTGGATACTTTGAAAATGGGAGCACATGGAAGGTTGGGCAGCTTATCTTTATCAACTGTGAGCAGTAGCTTCTGATTTTCTTTCCAGCCCTAGAGCTATATTGTGGAACCACCCAGATGACAGTAAATCCATAATACATTTCCCAGATCATCATTCTTCTGTTAAATTTTTTCCTTTTCCTTCATCCATGCTCAAGCATATTTCCTAATGTAGGTGCTCCCAACAAGACACTCACTTAGACCTTCATCCTCCTCCTCCCCATTTAGTGCTAAGTTTATTTCTCCAATCATTATCTCACCCTTCCTTCCAGAATATGAGCTTACCAGTGCACTGACCCAAGATCGCTTTCCAGTTCCCACGAACCCTTTTGCTCTTTAGTGGCACCTTCTTAATGTACCCTCTATCACTGATTCATCCAGGCATATCTGTGTCCACACTCTTCTCAAAGTTTCTGAATAACCTCACTGATGCTTTTAGTCACTGGACTTTTCAACTAAAATTAATCACGTGGTGGCTGGGTGCGGTGGCTCATGCCTGTAATCCCAGCACTTTGGGACACTGAGGTGGGCAGATTGCTTGAGCCCAGGAGTTTGAGATCAGCCTAGGAAACATGGTGAAATCCCATTTCTACAAAAAATACAAAAATTAGCCAGGTGTGGTGGCATGCACCTGTGGTCCCAACTACTCGGGAGACTGAGGTGGGAGGATTGCTTGAGCTCAGGAGGTTAAGGCTGCAGTGAGCCGTGATTGTGCCACTGCACACCAGCCTGGGTGACAGAGTGAGACCCTGTCTCAAAATAATAAAATAAAAGAAGATAAAATAAAATAGTCCCATGGTGCCTCTATTTTTCACTTAACCCTCAGTGCTCAGAGTGTACTCCCCACCCATCCTTCACATGGCTTCTGGCCTAAGTACTTGCTGAACTTAAAAGTCCTGGAGCTCACCACTGACTACCTCACTGTTATTTTGTTGTTGTTGTTTTGTTTTGTTTTCAGACTACTCAAATACTTTGTTTTATTATAGTACATGGGTTGGTACTGATGGGAGGGTATACATGTAGCCAGCAACCACTTCCCTGGTTAGCATCAGATGCCTATTCCATGGCCACAGCTGTGCCAAAGGTGCCACTACCTGTACAATGATTTTCTCAATGCCACCCATCAACCCCCAACCCTGTATTTGTTTGTTTGTTTGAGACAGGTTCCTGCTCTGTCCCCCAGGCTGGAGTGCAATGGCATGATCACAACTTGCTGCAGCATCAACCGCCAAGGCTCAAACAATTCTCCCACCTCAGGCCCTAGAGTAGCTGGGACTACAGGTGCGTGCCACCATGCCTGGTTAATTTGTTGTTGTTGTATTTTTTGTAGATGAAGGGTTTTGCAATGTTGCCCAGGCTGGTCTCGAACTGCTGAGCTCTAACCATCCTCCCACCTTGGCCTCCCAGAGTGCTGGGATTACAGGCATGAGCCACCATGCCTGATCCAAACCTGTATTCTGATCTTGAGACAGGAAAAGTTGCTGAAGAACTGCCATGAACACATTGAAATCCATCACAAAGCCCATCATCACGAGGTTAAAGCAGTTTGGTTGGGGCTTTTGGTAGGGACCCAGAGCGACTATCTCACTCACAGTGGTGCTGGTCTCTGCCACTAGGACCATGCTGCTAGGACCCCGTTGAAGGCAGGCAGTTCTGGAGCTAGAGTCCACTTGGAGGCTGTGTCTCTTACCACTTTATTTTTAAATCAAGTGTTTTCTCCTTTCCCATTCCCCACAGCCTGAGTGTAACAAGATTTTATTAACCATTCACTCCCCTTTCCAAATGTCTCCTGATAAATGTTTTTTGAAACATTTGGCTTTTTCATTTGTTACTGATTTATTTAGTCATCTACTAATTTATTTAGCAAACACTTATTAAAGGCCTTCTTGGTGCACTTGCAGCTAAGTGTGGATACAGAAATGAAAGTTAGCACCATCTTCAAGCAAGAGACAAGAATGAAACAATTATATAAGAGTATGATAAATGTGTGATACAGTGGTGGAAAGATTGCTGTGAACTGGAGAAGTGGGGCTTCTGATCAACTTAAAGCAGTAAAGGGAGGCTTCTAAGAGGAGGGGTCGCTGGATCTGGTGTGATGATAAGGCTCTATCCAGGCAGAAGGGAAAGTAATTACAAGGTCAAGGTCATGCAGCAATGGGAGAAGACGGCAAATACTTCAGTGTGTATGGCAGATAGGTGGTAGTCACAGGAGCTGGAGCTGGCTGGAGATACAATCAGAACATACATAGCATTTTGTAGAACGCTGTAGAGTTTAGAAATTATCTGAAGCTGTGAAGAGTTTTGGCTAGTGGAGATGAGATTATCAATTTTGTGGTTTTCAAAATATTTTTCTGGGAGGACAAGACTTCCTTTAACTCCCTCCTTATTTCCTGTTAGGGAAATTCCTCAAAGCCTAATTCTCTATGCTGTTATTTTATACTCTTTCCCTGGGATAATGTATCCACTAATGTATAGCCAATTGTCATAATAACCCGATGACTCTCAAATATTAATTTCCACTTCTGACTTTGCTCCCCAATAAGGGCAATTCTGCTTCTTCCTGCTGTTATGCCATTTTCTCTCTAACTCTGTTGTCTTTCAATGTTGACAGGGTTTCACAGCATGGAGACACCTTAAATTAACTGTGTTCTCTTACGTCCATTGCCCAGCAACCAACAGGTTTGATTGCTTTATATTCTCTACTGTCATTTGCATTGTTTGTCTCCATTCCCATTCTTGTCAACATAGCCCAGATCTATGTTGCTTATCTAGATTACTGACATTCCTCAAAAGAAGACATTTATGCAGACAACAAACATATGAAAAAAAGCTCATCATCACTGGTAATTAGAGAAATGCAAATCAAAACCACAATGAGACACCATCTCATGCCAGTTAGAATGGTGAGCATTAAAAAGTCAGGAAACAACAGATGCTGGAGAGGATGTGGAGAAATAGGAACGCCTTCACACTGTTGGTGGGAGGGTAAATTAGTTCAACCATTGTGGAACACAGTGTGGCGATTCCTCAAGGATCTAGAACTAGAAATACTATTTGACCCAGCAATCCCATTACTGGGTATATACCTAAATATTATAAATCATTGTACTATAAAGACACATGCACACAGTTATTGCGGCACTCTTCACAATAGCAAAGACTTGGAACAAACCCAAATGTCCATCAACAATAGACTGCATAAAGAAAATGTGGCAGATATACACCACGGAATACTGCGGAGCCATAAAAAAGGATGAGTTCATGTCCTTTGCAGGGACTCAGCAACTAACACAAGAACAGAAAACCAAACACTGCACGTTCTCACTCATAAGTGGGAGATGAACAATGAGAACACATGGACACAGAGGGGGGAACTTCACACACCGGGGCCTGTTTGGGGGTGGGGAGATAGGGGAGGGATAGCATTAGGAGAAATACCTAATGTAGGTGGCAGGTTGATGGGTGCAGCAAACCACCATGGCATGTGTATACCTGTATAACAAACTTGCACATTCTACACGTGTATCCCAGAACTTAAAGTATAATAAAAAGAAAAAAGAAAAAGAAGATTTTGTTTTCTTTTTTTTAAGACAGAGTCTTGCTCTGTCACCCAGGCTAGAGTGCAGTGGCACCATCGTAGTTCACTGTAGCCTCAGTTTTACAGGCTTAAGCAATCCTCCTGCTTCAACCTCCCAAGTATTTGGGACTACAGGCACACGCCACCACTTTTTGTTGTTTTCAGTAGGGATGAGGTCTATGTTGCCCAGGATAGAAGATTCTTAACTGTCTACTGTTTCTTCTTCCTCTAGTTGTTCATTTTTGTTATATATAGAGAGTAGGAGTATGCAGAAAAAATAGTGTGCACATAAAACAACATAAAAAACATTTCTAGTTTAGAAATCATAAAATGGACACTGATGATTATACCACCAAGATTAAGACACAGAACATTATTAGTAAATTTAAAACCTTCTGTATACCACCCTCCAATATCATCTACTCTTTCCACCACCCAGAAGTAACCACTATCCTGATTTTGTGTTAATCAGCCCCTTCCATTTCTTTATATTTTTAACCACCAGCGTATGTATATTTCTTGTTTGCCTTTAAAAGGAAACTTTTTATAGGATAAATCAAACAATATATATTCATCAGAATGCTATGTATTCATTATACTATACATAATCATAGTATATAGATTAATACTACATACATCTTATATATTCACTCATATAATATAGTCATTCATACTATATACATTATCATATATATTCATCATACTATATGTATGAATCATACTTATTTCTTTCACTTAATATTACATTTTTGAGATTTATCTAAGTTGATGCATGTAGCAGTCACTTGTTTATCTTCAGTGCTAGCAGTATTCTGTCACATGAGTTTACCTCAATTTATTTATTCTAATGTTGGTTCTTTGTTTTTTGGTATTACAAACAGTGCTCTTTTAGATATCCTCATACAAGTTTTGTGGTTACGTGTGCAGGCATTTTTTTGGAGAATACTAAATGCTAAATTGTAAGTTGTATGCATATTCAACTCTCCTGATTAGTGCCAATCAGCTTTGCAACTTGGTTATATAAATTTACTTTCTGATCAGAGTTTTTCTTGTTCTACACCCTTGACAATGTCCTTTCTTTAAAGTTTTGCCAATCTAGTGGGCATGAAACTGTGTCTTATTGTTATTCAAATTTGTATTTCTCTGAGTACTCATTCGATTGAGCATCTTTTCCTGTGTTTATAAACCTTTTGAGCTTTTTCCTTATGAAATGAAATTCTTATTTAGTTTGCTCACCTTTTTATTGGCTAGCTACCTTTTTCTTTTAGAAATCTACCTGTTTTCTAAAGGTTCTTTATGTATTCTCTGTTCAATGCTTTGTATATTATATATACAATTATATCATATTTTGCTTATTCATATTATTGGTTCTTTTTCTATAATGAACACATGCTACTAGTAAAATTTAAAAAGTTATTTACCAATGAAGGTATAAAATGGGAGTTTTCATGTAAAGGAGCATTAGTTGCACACTTTAGTGGATTTTTTTTTTTTTTTAGCACTAACACACCCAGGACAAGAAAGGGAGCTAACCATTTCAGTACACTGCTCAAATGTCAGTAAATAAATAGATATCAAGTTACAAATGTCCAAGGCTAAATCTAGAGATTATTTTTTCTCTTTGAAAGCATGAAAATATGCAGACATTTTAATAATGCTAGGTAGAAAAATTCTGTAGCAAATATTAAATGTATTTATGATATCAATAAATGGCAAGACCTTGTAACTAGTTCCAAGGACATACATTTTATAGACATATATAACTTTCTAATATGTCTTAAAATGAATAAGCTGTTTTTACTTTGTTGCATGTGTATTTTTAATAGAATTCTATTTGTAACTTTTTATTCACACCCCTTTCTCTTGCTTGCAAGAGCCAATTGTGTATGTCATTTTCTAATTCAGTATTAAGAAAAGTCACATTGGAAGCTTGAAATTAGCCATGATGGTTCTGTTTACACCATGCAAATTGGACAATGTTTCAATCAGAATTGTTGGGTTTTTGTTTTTTTTCCCCAGATTGTCAGTTTTGAAAATTTTCCAATACACCACTGCCCACCTACCCAGCACATAGAAATTGCACTTGTTAAGGTCACTAATGACCATAAAGTTGCCAAATCCAATACACATTTTTGTTTACTTTTTATTTGATCTCTCGGTCACATCTGGTACCATTGAACACTTTTTTTTTTTTTTCTCAAAATGCTCTCTTCAGCTGGACTCCACGACTCCTCTGTCTCTTGGTTCCCTGGTCACTTTATTGGTCCACTCTTTCCTGGTTCCTTGACCTGTTTTATCTCTCCAGCCTCTAAACGTTGGATGCTTCAAGGCTCAATCCTCAAAGTTTTTCTTTCTTTTTTTCTATTTACACTCACTCTCTAGTGATTTCATTCATGCCCATGTCTTTAAATACCCTTCATGCACTGATTACTCCCAAATGCACCTCTCCAGCCTTCACAGTTCCTCCAATTAGTATATCCGTATATCAGCTGCCAGCTTGACATCACCTCATGAACGTCTAACAGACAATTCAAGTTTACACATGTACGAAATCCAACTTTTGATTACTTTCTCCAAATTTATTATCCAATCTTCCCCATCTCAATATATCATATTCCAATAGATTGTATTTTATCAGTTACTTACCCCAAAAATCTTGAAGTCATTTTCGACTCCTCTTTTCTCTGTCTCTCTTCCTTGGTCCAAGCCACAATCATACCTCTGTATTACTGTCTCCTGGCTTCCAAACTCATTCTTTCATAGTCTATTCTCCTCACAGGAGAAAAAGCAATCCTTTGAAATCACACTGGAGCTCGCCATTCCTCTGCTGAACATTCCAATTGTTTCCATCCACCCCTGCTAATATCCAAAGTCCTTATCATGGCCTATAAATTCCCCTGTAATGTGACCACCCACTGCCTCTTTGACTTGATCTCTTCTGACCTCTGCACTACACCTAAACCATCTCCAACCACATGGGCAATTTTTCAAATACGTTGACTACATTCCTGCCACAGGACCTTTGTATGTGACTAGCTTCTCTGTCTGGAATATTCTCTCCTCTCAGAGCTACAAGACCCACTCCTTCACATCACAGCTTATCAACGAGGCCATGCTCAACATTCTTTGATGATTCTCTACCATCTTCTCCCCACCTTATTTTTTATCCTTTTCTTCAGGACACGTCCCACAACCTGGCATGTTGTCCGTTTCTTTATTGTGTATCTTCCCATTAGGACCTAAGCTAAGTGACAAAAGAAGCCCTGTTTTCCTTACAGCTATATCCTAATAGCCAATAAAAATGCTTGCTGTGTAGTAGGTACTTGGTAAATACTTGCTACATAAAAAATGTTTAAGGCCGGGCGTGGTGGCTTACACCTGTAATCCCAGCACTTTGGGAGGCTGAGGTGGGAGGATCACCTAAGATTGGGAGTTCAAGACCAGCCTGACCAACATGGAGAAACCCTGTCTCTACTAAAAATACAAAATTAGCCAGGCATGGTGGCCCATGCCTCTGATCCCAGCTACTTGGGAGGGTGAGGCAGGAGAATTGCTTGAACCCAGGAGGCGGAAGTTGTGGTGAGCCGAGATTGCATCATTGCACTCCGGCCTGGGCAACAAAAGCGAAACATTGTCTCAAAAAAAAGAAAATGTTTAAAATAATATTTTGTTTGATTTATAGCAGATTAGTTTTCATATGTAAAGACAATTACAAGAAAAAGGAGTTGACTGCTAGGCTCTGGTTAGATATCTTCTGTGCACTTTCTAAAGAAGATATCAAATATAAAAAGTGGCTTTTGTGTAGTGGAAAGTGATCTGCCCACTTGCCAAGGTATTTGATACAGAAAAAGTAAGACAAAATTTAGTCATGAAACCTACATGAATGCCACAGGTATCTCTGCCTGCTTAGCTGTAGAGAGGACAGAGTTCTGGATAACTGTAATTTTTCTAGGTGCAGAAGAGTGGTCTGATCAGGCACATATTGGCTTTAATCTTGTTATTCACACTGGTTACAAAAGTTTGCTCTTCACCAGAGAAAAATACCATACAGACGTCCCATCAGTTCTGTGAAAAATTTCTGAAACCCTCTACTTGATATCTTCCTGCCAAATTCCTGCTGACTGCAAATGAGCACAAAATGTCAGCTTTTGTTATTTGAAGCACTAATGATGGATTTGAAATATTACTCTAACTTTGATTCCAGGATTCACTATTATGGTTTAACTGATGCAATATCCCAAGTCCCATTGATAGAAGAATCAGATTTTAATGGTTTTAATAGAGAGCATGATCAAATCCATATAGATAACATTTGGGGGAGTTATTTTAAAAGGCTTTTTTTCAGATTCTAATCGAATTATAAAAATCACGTCTGCCTCAAACATGCTGAGTTTCCTGGCGAATGGGGGGTACAATATTATTAATAAAGATTATTCTGATTTTAAAAAATGTGTAGTTTAAGTTTTACTCACCAAAATAACCTCAATCCATCAAATATTTAATGACAGGACATTTAAAGAAAATATTTTAAATTTAAAATTAAAGAAAATTATGATTTCTAATTGTCCTTGCCCTTTGGTAAATAAGAGCTTTTTAAATAAGAACTTGGTACTCAACAGTAAAGATACTAACAAAGTAAAAAATACAATGTCCTGTCTTTCTTCCATTCACCTGTCCATCTGTTTCCCTGAAGTGTGATTTTAACTCATCTTGGTGTTCATTGTGTCTTGTTATAGTTTATGTCTAATTCGTTTCTAGAACAAAGAAAAACTGAACTGAGAGGTGAAGTGATGTCTGTGACTAATCTCAAAACAAAAGCCTATTCTCCATAACTCTAGCCCAGTTTTGAACATACCAGAGGTTTGTTCTTGGAAACCTTGAAAAAGCCGATATTATTTCCCAAAAGACAGTGAAGAGGACTGGCACATTTGTGTAATGTCTTTATGGAGGACAATTGAAAAGTGGTGACTAATACCTAGACTCTCACGTGAATTACCCATTCAGTCAGTTGTTACATATGTCCCTCCAGCATGCTTGTAATTTTTTTATTCTTCTAATATTGGTTAATTGTTTTGAAAAAAATTTCTGGTGGATTTTTTTAGCCAACTGCCTGGAATGTTAAAAAAAAAAAAAAAAAAAAGATTCCTCAAGTTTATTTGCAAATCCATGGCAGAAAAATGAAGTTTGCTGGTGACTTTTATTATGATAGTATAAGGATCCAGACAGAGACCCAAATCAATACTATTTTTTTTTTTTTAAGAGAGGGGGGTCTCGCTGTGTTTCCCAGGCTGGACTCAAACTCCTGGGCTACACAATCTTCCTGCCTCAGCTTCCCAAGTAGCTGGGAGTACAAACAGTTTTAAACATTTAATTTAATCATATTGTAAGTAGAAAATGGAAAAAAACATATAAATTGTTTTAAAATCTTTACCTTATAATTCTAGAAATGAATGTTTGGAAATAAGACATAATATGGAAAATAATAACTAGAAAAATCAGAATCTTGACACTAAGTACTAATAAATAACTCTTATAAAGTAGGTAACTTACAAGAAAGTAACACTTTCATATTTCAAATTTCTTTCTCTAAATCATTATGCATAAATTATATATAAACATATTTACATAAATGTTAATATGCTACATACTAAACATGTACTTTATATCTATATATCTATATATATATATGCATATAATACCTACCATGTAAAAAGCATTGCACTTCATAGTGCTGATCCAAAATGACTACAACACAATACCTACTATTAAGGAGTTCATAGTTTAGTGGGAGGGAGGGATTAGCACAGCAGTTATTTCCCAGGTCATTAGTCTGGTTATTATTATATTGTCTAGAAAAAACTACTCAGTAGTAATTCTTTTTTCTCCCCTGCCAGCCAGATTGCTTTAACTGTGGCTTCCCTGAGGCCCTTTATCTCAAAGGCTCCAAGCAAGACACTGGAGACCTAGAGCTGTGCCTCTCTTTCCTGCATGAGCATTCCCGTGGTTCTCAGGCTTTATACGGTTGCTTGATAAAATACATGATTTCCAGTTAAATTTCTGATCAATGAGTACATTTTAAAGTATATGTCATTCAATATATGAGATATCCTTATACATTAAAATGTTATTTATCTGAAATTCAAATTGATATTTTATTTGCTAAGTGTGACAACCGCACTGTAGGCCATTGACCTAATTCTATTTCCCTTTAAAATGAGTTGCTTTCTCACTAGCAATGCACAAGAATTGAGGAATAATATTTATCCACCAATTTTTGCCAATTCTTAGATCAAATTCTACAATTATGGTAAAATAAAGAATGGTAATATAATGGGAGTATGCAGTATGCATACCTGATTTGGCACCCAAATATTATATATATATATGTGTGTGTGTGTGTGTGTGTGTGTGTGTGTGTATGTGTGTGTGTGTAGGCATGGTGTTGTGCACCTGTAGTCCTAGTTACTTGGGAGGCTGAGGTGGAAGGATTGCTTATGCCCAGGAGTTCAAGGCTGCAGTGAGCCACGATTGTGCCACTGCACTTCAGCCGAGGCAACAGAGCAAGATCATGTTTCTAAACAAAGAAAGCAAATACATAGAATATTATTCTAGGCCAAGAAAAGCCTCTGTAAAAATACAAAGGCATTTGAGAACCTAGTTATAATCTATTATAACTATAACCTAGTTATAACCTATTATAACTATAACCTAGTTATAATAATAAGCACGTTTTTAAGTACTGCTAGAGTTTAGTCATGTAGAAAAGATAGTAGGAGATTAAACATAGGTTAAATCCTGTCGCATCTTCCCTGCTTATCTTGTTAAAAAGCCTGGGCTTCATCTTGGAAGGAAAAGGGAGTAAAGAATTTTAAGAGGTGAGCTGCAAGGTCAGTATCTTATATTGGGTTCCTTCAAAAGCAGAGCCTCAGACAAAGACTTGGGTGTGGGCAGCTTATTTGGGAGTGATCCCAGGTAGCAGGAGTGAGGAAGGAGAGGAGTGAAGCAGGGAAGCAGGAAACCCAATAGAAGACTGGGTTTGGTAAGTTGCTGCTGGAGACAACAAGGCCTGACTCCATAAGGATCTCTGAGTAGAGCATAAAATGCATTGAATTCTAGGAAGGATGGAAACTAGGTAATTGATCAAATGGTTCCCATTTTCCATTGGTTGAGGAAGTGCAGAGGGGTTGGTTGGTAACTCTCCTAGATCTCTCATCCTAGTGTGTGCAAACAGCAGTGGCTTTTTGTTTTGGCAAGCAGAAAGCAAAGGTGGGGACACTTGCTTGAGGTGGGACACTGCATAAATCTAAGACTATGGCTAAAATTAGAAGTAGTCCTGGGGATGAGATGCAGGGAACCAACAGAGTCTCTGCAATCAGAGATTCATCTGTAATTTACATTGTAAGTATAATTTGCTAAATTATCATCTAATCATAGCAATTAAGAGGGAATCATTCACGGAAACCCAAGAGTAGAAAAAAATAGCAATTGATGCATAATTGTGATTTATTATTTAGAATTAAAATCTTTTACACAAACAATTCATATCTGCTAGGACTTGGTTATGTAAAAACCAGAGTACTAATAATGCCTTCCAAAACTATAAAATCAGCCAAAAGATGTACAGAAAGAATGTAAACACTATAAATCTATATGAAAAGCAAACTTGCTTTTTAAAAATAGAGTAATATGTTTGTCAGTATGAATTCTATGTAATTCAGAAAATTGTGAATGGATATTCAAGTGCAGATAAATTGCATTTAACTTAATTAGCTAAATTGATCAAATAGAAAGAAGATTGGGGTGATACAGGAGTAGTATTTATTGAGTGTCCACTCTGTAAGGTTTTTAATATGTGTTTATTCTGTATACTTCACAATGACCCTGGGAAGGAGATATTATTAGCCCTTATAAATATTAAAAAACTGAGGATCAAGGTGGTTAAGGCATTTGTTCAAAATCACACACCTAGTAAATGGTAAAGTCAGGACTCAAATCCATTTCTTTTCAACTCCTCTTTCCACTTCATTGCTTTCTCTTAAAAGCCAGTTGCTTTGCAAGGTAAACCATGGAAATATTTATAATTATTTTTAAAAATAGAATTTTAATATTCACGGTTACTGAAGGATATATTGCAGTATTGCATGCTTGTAAAACATGTACTTTCCTAATTTTATAACCACAATAATATTTATAATAGAATATATTCAGGCCATATGAAAGGGATCTCTGAAAGTGTTAAAATGTGAAGAAGGTTCTTTTGGCCATAGGCAAAAGTTTAATAAAAATAAAAAAAAAGTCAGCATGTTTAGTAATGAGAGGAAAAAAAATGTTTTCTGTGGTCATGTTTTTCAACTTTAACTATATTTGCCTATCATTTTAATATAAACATGGTATATTTATATAGCCTAAAGCAATAGGAACCAGATTCCTTGTTTTCAGGATGCCAAAAAATACATCTTCAAGGATGATAAGCAATAACAGAGAAAAGTGAATCAAAAATATCAAGCTTCTATCTGATTCCTGACCAAGATTTTAATTTTATTGCACAAATATGCTATGGTGACAGCTATATACAGTAGTACCACCCACCCAACCCTGATGCAGGGAAGGGTCTGCCAGCATTCCCATTAGAATCCATAAATGGATTTCTGATGTTTTAATGCACATTAAATTGGCATCTAGGTTCTCAGAAAGATGTGTTTTTGTTTAAAAAAATAAGTTTTCTAAAAAGAGACCTAAATAGTATCAGCTGGCTTTGATTAGAAGGTGCATAGCAGGTGATTTCTGGTGAACTGTTAGACCTAATGATGTCAGCGGAATGACTGCATAGTACTTGTGACACTGAAGGGCATCCAGAGGATAGTGCCAAAGGGAAGATTTTTATTTCAAGGGGTACTAAGAAAGGTGCAGCCGCCAAATTTTTTAAACCATTAAAGAAACTACACATGTAATAAATAGCTGAATCATAATTTAAACCACTCTGCTTTTTATTTTACAAAGTGAAAAACTATCATGGAGGAGAGGGAGTATTGCATAATGGCAGAAGCAGAGACTCTGGAAACAGACTGTCCTGAGGGGTTTGAATCCCAGATACATTTATATCTTAGCTGTGGGACCACGGGCAAGTTATTTAAACTTCTAACGCTTCCACTTCCCTGTCTATAAAATGAGACTAGTAATAGTACCTATCTTACAGTTTTGAGTATTTCATGAATTAATACAAGTAAGTTCTTGGGACAAATATCAGACAGAAAGCACTCATTAAATGTTGAATACAAAGAAAAAAAATCCATTGTGTTTGCACCTATTTTGGATATCTATACTCTTGAATTGTACAGGAAAGAGAAAAGTGTAAAATGTGTGTGTGTTTCTCTAAAATACAGGTACTGTGGAAATTGTCACAGTTATAAATAGAAACTCCTTTCTGAAGATAATAAAAGTAACACAAATATTTCTTAATAGTTTTTAATACTGTAGTAAGAGAAATCTATATGCCAAAATGTGTGAGACTCTCAGAGTAGAGATAAGAACAAATGAACCAGCAAACACATTATGCAGTATGACCCATGTCTATTGCAACTTTGTCTAGTAGACATATAATGCCAGCCACACCCGTAACATTTTCTTAAAGTTTATGCCACAAGCTCATAGTGGCTTTAATTTCTTTGCAGGTGGAAAATGGGTATGAATACATACATTGTTATGGAAAAGTACCAAAGATACCCAATGTAAGTTAAAATGTGTTGTTTACTAATCATTGTTTTACAAGAAGTAAGGACAAGAAGCGTTTACCTCCAAAAGCTGCCTGACCACCATAATGCAGTTTCTTAGCACATCAACTCTCTCACTTCTGTTTAAACGTACTTCAACCTAAGAATATTCCTTTAATTCAGGTGATGGCTGGGACCAGGGGAAAACATGGAGTCCTAAGTCAGCAAACTGCAGAAGGCAATTTGTAAGGTGTGGTGGTAACATACATGTGAAGGCATTCACAATGTTTATTCAGTAAAACATTACAGTTCTTTTTTTTTTTTTTTTTTTTTTGGCTAAGACTGTCACATTTTCTCTAATGTGTTTTTCACAGCATGAGGTTCTGTCTGTTGTGGCAACTAGGACTGAGGCTGGGGGCACTGAGGGAAGGGCACACGGATGGCCAGGTATACTGGAGCCCATAGATTCTGGGGTTTTGTGTCCTGCATCTCCATATAATTCTTCTAGGCATCTTGGTGGCCTTCTCTTTGTCCTCTGTGGATGCCAGAGGAAAGTAAAAGCATAGATAGGGGCTCTTTTCTAGGTTTTTAAGTTTACCTTATAAATAGTATTATTATAAATCCCTCACTTCAATGATCCCCTTTATGGAATTTTAAGCAATAGTTTGTTTTATACACACAAACTTAATTCACGATGTTTAAATATTTAAATATTCAAATATTTAAAACTGTATTTATTAAACTGAATTCCTATGTAGGAACTTCAATTAAATTTTTAAGTAATTCAAATAAAATCTTCCTGATGAATAGCTGTATAACTTTAACAAGTTAAATTTGTAAATGGAGAAGAGCTTAAGTTCTTTTAAAAACTTCAGCACTGCACATAAACTTAATGAGATTCCAACATAAAATCCTGAGTTTAAGTATTCAACTACTTACTTCTCATCAGATTTATTCTAAGGAGATAACTTGTTTTACTGTTTATAATTACACAAAATATCAAGTATATACCGATTATTTCTTAATTTAAAAATATTAATAGTATGGTTTTGAGTTTTTTTAAGTTTTTTATGTTAAATTCAAATACTCTAAAAGTTGATAGATGCTTGACATAAAAAAAGGAATTAACATTGCAGTTAATGGAGGTAATTAAATACTGCTATTTGGACTAAGATGTTGAGGAAATTCTTACCCATGACCTTGATGAGATACACTGACCTCTATTTATAATTTCTATATCAGAGGTTCCATAACTCACTAAAGAAGTGACATCTTTGCCCACTTCGCTGGGTTCTAGTTAAACACATTACCTCATTCTTCTGTCGACTCACAGAATTCTGGAGTGCTTGTCCTGTGTGATCATTTGATTCAATTTGGCATTGTAATTCCTAATTTAGGCAAGTAAATATTCCTTTTAACTTTAAGTAATTTTAAATTTAAATAATTTTCAAATGGATTGTCCCATTTTTTGTATCCTTGGGAATATATGATTGATATGGATATTTGAATACTTCATTAAATTTTAATTTAATAGCTTTGTCTTGCTAGTGATCACAATTTATGAGGTTTTTCTAATGATATGTCCCCTTCATTCCTCTTACAGATTTACTTGACATTCTTTAATTTCTATGTTGTTCGTTGGAATAACAAATGAGTTAAAAATATCAATATGATGGTGTAACAAGATTCAATGAGTATGTTTTATTTTCTGTAGAATAAGATTAGCTTTTCTATTTTGTGTAATATTATAAACTTATGGCTTTTCATACATTTGATGTTTTTCCATCAACCCTAATTAATCTTCTCCTCTTGGTGCTTATACTATAACAATTTTGGCTAGTGGGGATCCTTGCAAGGTTGGTAGTTGTGCCCATTTGATATGGCCCCAATAATCTTTGAAAAATATCTTGTTCTAATGAGCAGGCTCATTTTGTCCCTGCTCCAGATTTGAGTTTGGTAATTTCTTCAGATTAATCCCAGGTTTCAGTAGGGGGAAAAAAGGCACCAGAGATAATAATCTAATGATGTGACTAGGCTCTAAGATAAATCATGGTAAAACATTACTTTTGGGCTATATCACCGAACCAAGCTAAGAAAATAGATGTGTATTGATGTTTACTCTTTAGTTCTAACAACAGAGTATTTCTACACTTTTAATTCTAAACAATTATATCTATTTCCCTTTAAATGAAAATATCAGTCATTTTGGAAAGTAAATAAAAGTGCTTATTTATCTTTAACAAAAATTTCAAAATAATAATACCAGAATAATGTAAATAGCAATACTGCTGAGTGAAGTTTAGGGTTTTCTATGCAGTCCTTTCCATCCTTAAAATATCCCTGTTAGACAATGGTGCACCAAGGTAAAAGAGGGAGTGGGAGCCATCTGCCCAGTAGCAGTAGTATCTTATCACTAACATTGCTAGACCTGCTGGCGCACAGTGATAATAAAAAGCAGACCAAATCTTAGGTCTTTTTATTGTTGTTTCTAAATTCTTTCAGGCTGTACAGCTTTATTGCCTAAACCCAAGTTCTCTAACTCCCAAAGCCCCTCTCTATGCCCCTGTACATGACTACTACCAAGTATGTACAGTTGAATTTCTTTATTCTAGAGTCACTCATACATTCTCATTCAGTTTTACCTAGTAAGAGCTTCCCTAGTAGCTGCTGCAGCAGTTTCTGCTCATTTTCAATTTAAAGCCATTTGTACAGCTGACAGTTTGGAGTTCTTAGAAGGTGACTGCTTTAAGCTGCTAGTCTTTTCTTGGTGGCAGAGCTCACCTCACGGAAGCTGGTAAAGTCCCACTCCCATTCCACCTGGAGAATATAGGAAAACTTGAGCAGCTCTGTATCCAAAGTTTGGTACATTGAGTTTTATTTTACCACCATCTGGTTAATCTACAAAGAGATAATGTATATTTATAAGTGCAAGATTTATATATTTCAGTTCTGGCTAGCATACAAAAGAAGAAAATCTGCTTCCTACTATTTAATTTCTAGTGATATTAGAAACGTTATATTATCATGTATTCAAATACATAGCAACTTTTCTAAATCCTGTTTTGATATTAAAGATTTTAAATTTATCTTGCTCCCTTTTCAAAACCACAAACTCTTTTCTTTTTTACACTATGCAACATTCCCTTATTGACACAATATTCATGCTGTGTATTTTTATAGCAAAGTTTGCAGAAGAAAGATCCAAATGATTTCATAGAGTTAGATTAGCAGAGAACTAAGTGTAAATAAAGGCTCTTGAGTTTTTAACCAAAATATCCTTTTTTGACTTTTATTATGAGCAGATATATAAAATTTTAAAATTGTAATTTAAAACTTACACACAATACATAAAATTATGTAAATATATGTAAATGTTACCTATATGTATGTTTATATATGTCCATAAATATTATATATATATTTCTTAATTTTAATCAAAGATAGCCCTAGAAGAAAACTCAGTTTTTTTCAGTGGCTTTAACCTAATGCTTCTTAAATTCATACTTCTAAAATCTAATCTAAAAAACTGTAATCTATTAAGATAAACTGTAAATGAAAAAATAGAAGAGGCATCACTGAAATTTTATAGAAATCATATAAATTAGTGGCTTCTGCTAGAACCCATTCATTAAAAAATCATTTTTTCTACTTGTCCACACTGTAATTGCATGTGAGTCTCTATTTTACAAAATATTAATATAAAACTTTAGACATTTAGTTTTTAAATAGAAATCCAATTTCTTTGTGGAATCAAAATATGCCCTGCTCAACAGTCCCACTTCTTCTTTTTGTAATAATTACATTAAACTTTACAGAGAAAAAATAGATGAAACAATGTTATTTAAATTTAGGGGAAACCACTGATGTTTGCAGTTTTAGTGTACAGTCTATTTTAATCAATTCATGATATTTAAAAGGCACAAATGATTTATTAACCAAGAAGAGAGGGAGAGTTGATCTGATTTCCAACTTTGTAGAATCAGTTTTGCTTATGATAAAATTTTAAAGCTGCCACCTTTATCTTTATTTCTGCCTTAGTCTCCTATTTATTCCTTAGCCTAGGGACTATTCTTCTCAGCCCAAAGTAAATTTTTTTTTTGACTTTAAGTCTATTAAGGTCATGTGAAAGAATTATTGATTTAAATATAGTTTTTAGCCACATACATATATATTCACAATGTCATCCTTTTTTCGTGGCTAAAACCACATTAACACCTACTAGCAAATAATCAAACACAAGCTCTTTACTTTTCATAATGTTACTAATTGAAACTTCATGGTTTCAATTGAATATTTTCTTAAGGTTTTATTCAGTCATTCTTAAGACCCTGAAATCTCAAGATACCATTTTTTAATTCAATAAATTTACAATGTTTATATCAAACTTAGCACTCTAAGCTCTTTTTTGGAGACAGTTACTTTTTGTAATATATATTTGAATTTCAATATCTATGCAAGCCTTCTTCTGGAAGAGCATGCTCAAATATAAGCAATGCTTCCACTCTTGTCTTTTTGTAATCCAGGCGTAGTCTAAGAAAAGAATTACTGTAATTTAATTTATTTCTAATGACTCAGAACTTAAGGTTCAGCTGGAGGAGATGTACATCTCAATCCCAATAGACATCCTCTGGGGAGGTTTTCTCAGTCCATTATCTGTAGGCTATGCCCCGTCAAAGGTCAAAACCTGGGTTGATGATACCTCGAGGACAAGATTCTCTGTGAGAAAGTTTATGATTTTTGTTTGTTTTTGTTTTTTTTGTTTGAGACGGAGTCTCGCTCTGTCACCCAGGCTGAGTGCAGTGGCGCAATCTTGGCTCACGGCAACCTCCACCTCCTGGGTTCAAGCGATTCTCCTGCCTCAGCCTCCAAGTAGCTGGGATTACAGGCACCCGCCACCATGCCTGCCACTGGCTAATTTTTGTATTTTTAGTATAAATGAGGGTTTCACTATGTATAGATGAGGGTTTCACTATGTTGGTCAGGCTGGTCTTGAACTCCTGACCTCGTGGTCCCCCGCTTTGGCCTCCCAAAATGCTGGGATTACAGGCGTAAGCCACTGCGTTTGGTCGGTTTCTGTTGGTATGCAGGCTTTTCTATAGGAATCTAAAAAGATCACTCCTGTGTTTTCCTTTCCTTTCCCTCCCTCCCTCCTTCCCTGCCTGCCTCCATCCCTCCCTCCCTCCCTCCCTCCCTCCCTTCCTTCCTTCCTTCCCTTCTTCCCCTTCTTTCTCTTCTTTTCCCCTTAAGTCCTTGAAGCAGCTTGCAACCTCAGCTGATCTCTGATGGAAGCAATTAAGGATATGCCTTTTGTAAGTCTCAGCTTCCAACAGACACAGCCACTTCAGGATTGAGTTTTCCAACTTTTGTCTTTGATGTTTGATAGAACTAACAGCCACGAAAGCCAATTTTGGGCATCCCTGGTGTTTTAGTTCCAAACTTTAGAGCTCTAAAACTACAAAGGCCCAAAATGATTTAAGCAGGTACTATGTTTCTCATCTAAACCCTGAAATGAGAAGAGCCCATATGTTGTATGGTGAAGTGGATGGTGAAGGCATGACAGAGGACAGGTGGCAGAAAAGCCACAGGGGAGCCCATAAAAGCAAATAATGATAAAGGTAGAAAGTGAGAGAGTTTCCTCTGAAGATGTTGGCCCAAACCAAAGTCAAGGACTTTGTTATTTTGGTACGTCAGGGAAAGGGCCATATGTGAATTACAGAGCAGGACCTCCAAGAATAGTAAATGGCGAGTCCAGACAATTTCATTTACAGGGCTTCTGACTGAATATTACCCATGCTAGGAGTATCTTCCTTTTTACCTTTAGAATCTATTCAAATTTGGCAAATGGCAGAGACCCAAACTAAGGACAATGTGAGGTGGTGGGGACATGGAGAGAACTGGAACTAGTAGCCTGCCCAGGTCTCCAGTAAGAAGGCAACACAATTTTGTGTTTAGGAAAAGTGGCTCCAGAGATTTTGCATGACTAGGCCCTACTCTAGTCATCCAGCAATCCACCTCCAGCAACCCCCAAGATCGAGAGGCAGTGCTACAGTCAGTGGTGAACTGCAGAGACAAATATCTCTAGGTGACAATGTTTAGGGAGGTATGTGAATGGCAGCAGGTGAAGGGCATGGACAGACATAAAAAAATAAAAAATAAAAAATAAACCATGGGACTCCATAATATGCCAAGTGGAAACCAAAGAAAGTGACTGGACTTCTACAAATTTGGCATGGGGGGCCTAAAAGTTGTACAACTATGACTTTTTATTGACCACGCCAGTTGGTAAAGTTTGTGATATTGTATGCAACATGGAACATTTTGGTAACTTGACTTTTTTGCTGAATGAACTAAACTTTATGTAAATATTTACCATCATTTACAAGTATTTTATGAAATGATTTTTGGCTGCAGCGTTGTATTCTATCATATGGATATACAACATAATCCATTTAACTAATCTTCCAGATTTGGAACTTTAAGATTGTTTCTATTTTTTTTATATTTTAAATAGTGCCTCCATGAACACATTTGTAGATATATATTTGTAGATATGATTTTGTGTAAATCCCCAATAATTTACCTACTGGAATTTTATAGTTTTTTTTTTTTCATTTTTGCAAGTTTCTGTAGGTCACAAGTAATAATTTTAATGTTTATTTTTCTTTTTCTATTTTCTGTATTTTAAAAACACCTCTTTGTAATGAGTAGTTTATTTTTTAAACCATACAAAGGAAAAGAGAGAAAAAAAATTTACTGACTCATACTTAGCTGCATTGTTCCATTCATATTATATCTATAACACTAATATCTATTTTCACATCAGCATTTGACACTGATAATTTCAACAGCCAACACAAAGAAAAGTTTTCTCTGAAGACCACTCCCTCATTTCTCCTTATCAAATCATGTCACTTTGAAATAGATGAGTATCAAATTGAAATCACAACTATTCAAATAAAATTAACAAAGAGAATTTTGAGTCATCTCTTTTTCATGGTGAAAATGTCCAGATATTTCAATACATTTACATTCCTATTCACCTCTACAGAGACAGACTTATTTACTACATGAATTGGTAGTCATATCACAATATGAATTTAACTTTTCTACAAAAAAAAACCACTTTTTTTCTAAAGCATTTTGGAAGTAAATTAAGTATTAAAATTCATGCCCAGATTTTTTTATAAAGCTGTCAAATTCTCCTTACCTTAAAAGTAAACTATGTAAGACAAGAAAAATAAAAGCTGGACAAAGAAATACCCCTCCAAGAATTCTGAATCGAAAGAACAACACGCAGCTCCTCTACATGGCTGCAAATTGCCTGGTTGATTGTGAGAGTAACAACAGCTACCACAGAAAGAGGTACCATGGACTGGCCACTTAATTGTTGTGAAGGAGATTACTGCCATTACTTTATAGATTAAAAAAAACTGAGGTTTAGAAATCTTTAGAACTTTGCCCAATATCACATAGCAAATAAGTCACTAAGGTCTGTTGAACTTTAGAATGTGTGTACATCCAACCGTACCCCATTGCTTTCTAACACAAAATTGGCATGAATTCAGAACTGTTGACTTGCCACAGTAGATCTGCCTTGAGACCTCCATTATGGCCCAAGCTCTCCCTTGTGAAAGACCCAGAGAAGTCTGGGGAAGTAAGTGTGATAATTTATACACAATTCATATAGTCCC
This sequence comes from Homo sapiens, assembly GCF_000001405.40. Lineage (NCBI taxonomy): Eukaryota > Metazoa > Chordata > Mammalia > Primates > Hominidae > Homo > Homo sapiens. The sequence goes on from NC_000002.12 coordinate 198,744,658, forward strand.
AAGATAGTGATGAAATTAATTAATTAGAAACTATTAAAAATGTATACATGTGATATTCCTACAATTTTCTTCCTGAGTAGAAAACTAAAATAACTCAGGAAGACATTTGGGGAGAAAAATTGGTCAAGCGGCACTCTCCTCCCCCACCCACACATGTTCTCTTGGTTCTTTGCTCCCTGGCCTCAGTTTCCCAGATTCTGCCTCCTTTGTCAGGCCAGCAGTCATTCTGTGCCCCACACAGCTTCACTGGGTGAGGAAGGGACGATGAAGAGGCTTTCCTGTAGGTTTAGTCTGTGAAAGAATCTATGAAATACAATGAGAACTTTTGTGATTCATCTTATGCTACCTTATCTCCTATGCTTTAGTATGTTACAAGAATTTCTCTTTTTCAGCCTTGAATTACACTACAAAAGGAAAAGTTCCCTTCTGTAACTTAAACTGAGCCTTGATTTAGGGTGGAGGTAGTGGCCTAGTGGGGTAGGAGAGAGATACGGGAAGAAAGTTTATGAAGGTTTGGGAGTTGGGGACTGCTTCACACTAACTGGTTCAAAGTCACACACCCAGCAAATGCTGCTTAGACAATGACAAGGAATTATTAGGGTGAGAATATTCACTTTTCTTAAACTGGTCAGCAGGTTGACTATAGGCTTCCAGCCTCACGCTCATTTGAAAACAGGATTATTTCTTTAAGAAAGAAAGAATTAAGGAGGGGTGAATATGCCAACCCAAAGCCTTGGGGAGCCACTGTTTTTTATTTCCTCTCCTCTGGTCATTCTTCTCTAGATAAGTCTACAGCAGTTTTTAAACACCCAGTTCAAATCAGCACATCTTTATAATTTATATTTATTATTCTAATAATTAGCTAAAAACAAGCCAATCAAGCCCTGTATACCTCTGATATTGTGCCAGGGTTGTTACTCTAAAGATAACTAAGATGTGACTCTTGTCCTAGAAGATGGAAATGTCTAAAAAAGGAGAGAAAAAAGCAAACAGAAATATTAGTAATACTTTTAACATACAAATTAATGTGCTTTTATCTTTCAAACATTCTGATAGATAACCTTCCCCATATTCAGTAGGAAGAGTTCATTCCTTTGAGCAGCTTTCAGTTTTTGTGACAAAGAGAAGCAGTCAATGTTCAGCTTTTGGCCCCCAAAATAGACTACTGAAGTCCAAGCCAGAAAGTCAAAGCTTTCATCTGCAGGATTTAGACTTTTGTAGAGCAGAATATGTTGAGAATCAAAAGGCAAAGTCATGAAGAAATAGGAATTAAGAGATATCCATTAAGAAGATGCCAGAAACCAACCTTACCCAGGGAGAGGAGGGAATTTGAAAGGGTGAGGAGAGAGGTCCTTGAGGTATTAAGTACCTGTGATGACGTGTGGGGAGAAGCAGTGTGCAGCAGGGGCTTCCCAGTGTCTCTAAACCAACACCATCCTTTGCTAATACTAGGGACAGCCTGGGAGGTGAGTCGCCACTGACCCACCTCCAGTATCATTCAACACACTGTGGGACATGCTTAAGCTGTGATGGCAACTCAGCTAGTTGCCAGACGAACAGGACCTGTTCAAAATGCTTATGGGTTGTCCTTCATAGCTGATACCCATCTGTGTCCTAAAATGCAGCCCTTTTGAATCATTCTACATGGTCCACCTCTCTTTTAAAGGCCCAGGTACTGTCAGTTCTCTGACAGTGAGAGTGGCAAAGCCCCACAGCAGGACCCTGGCCCTGTGGCTCCATTGCAAGCTGGGAGAGTGCTGTACAACACAGCCCCCCCAGTGAACCTTCTTTCCTTCATTCATAGTCAGAGCATGTTTGTGGCTGGACACATGGTGGCTCAATGCAAGGTTGCACTCCTGAGCTTGGCACCAGCCCTCTGCTCTGTTCCTCTCCTGCCATTTTGCAAGTACCAGGTATTTCATGACTTCATGGCTTCATAGTTTCTATCTTGCTATCATTGTACAACAATATACACATGGCCAGGCATCTTTTCCAAAGAATCCAATTTTTCCCTTAGAAATCCATTTTGATTAACTCTTCCCCCAGAAAGTGGTCCAGCCCCACCCTTCTCCTAGATGAATCTGCTTGGCAAGATCCTGTTCATTCAACTGTACACAGGTGTAGGACTGGGGGTGGAAATATGAGCTGTTTATTAAAATGAAATGTGATGTATCAAATTAAAGATTTATCATATTACTGAATTATTAAAGTTAGTAAACATGACTATATTACTTAAATGATATACCAGATTACTTAATTGATATACCAAATTACTTAACTGGATCGTACACATGCCTAATTCTATCAAATTTGCTAAACACTTTACGTTACTGAAGAGCCCTGTCTCATGCAAATAAATTATGCCAGGAACTGAATTTATAAAGCAAATGCTACTAATAATGTAATCCGAACCACATTACAAATGTGACAGATCTGACATTAGCTGACAGATACGAATTGACTTAATTATTAATCATAATAAATCGAGGCAAGATTTAAATATGTGATCTAATGTGACTTTCCTATCAATAAAAAACTGTGATATTGCTGCCCTCAAAAGAGATAAATTTCTATTGCTAAGGACAGTGTAGTAACTACTTCATAATGAGGCTTACCTGTCATCAGACAGCAGTAGTGTCCTTAAACATGCAATGGCTCATTTACATAGCTAAGCGGTTTGGTCACACACTTAGCACTGGACTATTCATTTTAAGAATACAGAAAATATTCATAGAGAGCACAGAGAAAGTGAGAAGACCTCTTTAACTGTCTAAAAACAATATTACATGTAAGTGTGTATGTGTGTGTGTGCATGTGTGTGTGTGTACATACTCTATCATGTAATACAGAGTATAAATGCTGTATCTCCAAGGGACCATAAGTTGGTGGTCTTGCAGTCAAATTCAGCCTGCAGACATGAAGACATATTTTGTTTGGCCCATAGTGTTTTAAACATAGGGACATTTCAGGCAAAATATCTGGATTCTTAAATTTCGTTTTGGAAAATCAGTGGGCATTCTCCTACTGCAACAGTTGGTTGGAGCTGAGTAGGAGCTATCCCAGTTAGGTACAATACACACACTGCTTTGCCATGATCTCCCCTCCACACTACTCTATTCTGGCCTTCTTCGCTTATTTGTGTAACCTACCTAGCCCCTGGCTCCTGTATGTATTTGAGTTTTTCACCTCTGTTCTAGACATTCAAAGCGGGCTCATTCAATATGGTATAAAGGAATGAAGGGAAATGAAGACTAGATAATTCAAAGAATGTTTCATGCTTAAAGGGATCTAATTTGGGAATTTAAAGGTGAATTTAACTGGACTTAGGCTAGTCAAAAGGGGGAAAATATGTTCTTAGTAAGGAAAACTGGGATGAGTGAAGGCATCAAGGCATGAGTGATCATGGTACGTGGACTTCAAAGATTTGAGCAGATAAATAAGACTAATATTCTTTATGAAAACAATCTAAAGTGTTTGCATTTAGTCTAAGTTGGTCAGATGTGAGTTTACATTAAAAGAATTTTAGGAGGGAAGTAACACAATTAAAGTGGTATTTTAGGTAATTCCAGGTAAATGGATGTATTGGCAGTTACTGGACTCGGAGGGACTGGTAGGTGGGTGCAATGATCAGGTGTGAAATAAGGAGGAAGTCCTAGCTGGAGGTTTGTAGCAATAAGAAGGGGAGAGAAGGCTACAGATGAGACCTTGAAGAACACTTTTCAGTATCATATGTTCTTCAGTACATGGTTATCCTGACATTAAAATATTAGATGCATTTATTTCAAAAATTAGTTAATATTAGACTATCTTGAAATATCTATTTTTTATTTTTTGCATTTTATTAATCTTCATTTAATTAAAGCTATTTCTGAGACCAGTTATTTCTCTGCTGAGGACTCCAAGCCTTTGACTTTTTATCATATCCCTTCCACCAGCATCAAAAATTATCCGTCATGTGTTTGACGGATTTTAGTAACTCATTTATATTGTTATAGACAATGATTTTTAAAATGTAATTCTTCTTTAAAGAACAATGAACGTTAAGGTAGGACTTGGAAAAAATAAAATCTAATCTTTTGACTTGATAAAATATTCACTAGTCAAAATAGTCCGATTCATATTTTGAGTTATAAAAGACTTTAGTGATTAATCTAATCCCCTTATGTCCTAGCCTATTGGTCAGAAAACAGGTCCAGTTGATACAAGTGACAGAATGAACTAATAAAATTGGCTACCTGTGAACAATGCAAAAGCATCTTCATCCCAAGCCCAGGAATTTGGATAAATTATCTCATGCTTCATAGTTACTAGAAGACAGAGAAAAATCCATATCCAGAGTTATGGTACAGGACATATTAATGAGACATCAAAGGATTTGTTTGGTGCCAAGATCATCAAGTTTTTCTTAGGGCTAGATGTCTCTAACATATTGCTATTTCAAATTTGCTGGTATAAAGTGTTAATTTCAGGTATACTAAATTTTATTTTTCTTCACCGAGATTGCATTACTGGAGTCCTGAAGCAGAGAGTTTAATAAGCCTATGCCTCTAAGCAAGTGTCAGGTTAAGCAGTGGTCCTGATTCAAGGTCTGGTTCAAGGACCTGCTCCATCTGTTGCCTGGCTCAGATGTGTCTAGATAAGGAATAGATTTCACCTTCATTAAGATTTATAGGTATTTTAATCCACATATTAATTAAAATGCCTTCTACCTGAGTTGAAATATTACAGTATCAACACATTATCTAATAAAACAATTTATACACAAAGAAGATTTTATTCTCTCATTTCAGAAGATCCGCCTCTAAATTTTAATGACATGACTGGATGTTGGCCAGTATGACTCTCACTCCACAGATATCATAAATCCAGATCCCTTAAAGATGATTTCACTAGATGTTGATGGTATCTATGCTAACAAGCTCTAGCTAAAACAAAGTACCAGTCCAGGATGATTCTTCATTAAAACAAAAAACAAATGTGCATGTAATTTATAACAATATATTCATGGGTGTAGACTAATATGTATATATGATGAACAAATTACAATTTAAATTATGACAAATTCTATTTGATTTCGTCTGTTAGGATAAATTCTAAATTTAACATTGATGGTAGTTTCTCAATCAGAGGAGAAAACATGCATAGTGTAAATAATCCACATAACCTACATTTTAGACATTTGTTTAAATATTTGTATATTATATAATTACAACATGACATTATACATTATATGCATTATTTGTACATTATATAATTACAACATGAAAAATGTTAACTATTAGAAGAAACTTCCAGAAAAATGTATGAATTACATTTGAGAGTCTTTCTAAAATTATCCTCAAATTAGGCTGTCCATCACATTTTAAAAACTGATGCTCACTTTAAGAAACTGAGGGTTAAATATCATGCACGCCTTACATTAAAAAATCATATAGTAAGGCATAACCTTTGTTTACTAGACAGGTCAGTGTGAAGGCATTGAATGCTCAGAAAGGCCTTTTCAAAATGGCAGTTTTCTTACCATAAAAATTAAAATTAAAATTCCTATTGGAACAAGAGCGCACTACCTCAGAAAGCATTCTGATGGCATTCCTTCCCTTATTGTTTTGTGAATTTCAATTTCTCAAGATATTAATAGCTTTAGTTTTTTTCTTATACTAGTGCTTTTTTTTCCTTAAACTAGCTCTATTTCAGAAATCTGGCCTCTCTGACCAGACTACAGAAAATAACATTTAACCCGTTCATTTATTATTTTTGCTTTTGTATTCCTTGATTTTTTATAGTACTTGCTGCTGGCTTCTTATGGATATATTTATAATATTTGTTTGTTGACCTGTCAGACTCTCCACTTGAAAGTCAACGCAGTGAAGACAGAGGCTTAACCTGTTTTTTTTGTTGTTGTTGTTGCCAGATCCTTAGTACCCTCAGTTCCTGGCACATCATAGGTGCTAAATTAATACTTTTAATAAATTTCATGAGTTACTGAACTTTCAAAGAAAAAATTGCTTACAGACTTAGAACACTAATCTTGCCAATTATTTTCTTTCCTATCAGGAAGGAGTGATATATATGTGGAAATAAAAAAAAACGCATTTTGCAAAACCAATTCATCACACTATTATCCCCTTGAGATTTATTTCACTGCATAGTTTCCATGGCACAAGTTGAGGAGAAGGAATAGAAGTCAATGTAGCCCATAAAAAGATGAGACCAACTAACTCAGTGCATCTGAAAATCATAATATTGGCAATAAATCACTCATGATAACAAACAGCATTTACTTTTCGACAGATAACTTTGTGCCAAGAATTTGTCCTGCATTCCCTTTATTTATGATAAAACAAAAGTGACTTAAGCTTTGTCATGAAAGAATGCTTTAAGTGATGCTTTTAAAAATATGTACACTGTTCTTGAAACAACTCCATTCTGATTTATATTTATAGATGCTGCTATGCACATTCTAAGGTAGTTGATATAAAGAGGAATTGTGGCCAGGAATCATATGAGTAAGGATTGATGCCTTCCTCATTAGATTAGAAGTCTTAATACCTTATCCACTCCCAATTTTTCTCCCAACAAGCAACAATTTTTTTCATCTTCAAAGATAGTCATGCTAACCTGTCAATGGAATAAAATTCAGTTGACTTAAAATCTGTGATGTAACATACTTTAATTATATTTGCTATACTAGGAGACTGTCCTTCTGTGGGAACTCTTGAAGGTTTTTTCTTCCTATCCTGCATTATTTTTCAATATTTAAAATCCCATGATTTTAGACTAACTGTATCTTGATTTTATGTTTATTACATTTTTGTGTTTGACACAGAAAAACATTGACTATTATATGCACAAAGCCAAAAGGAGAAAAAAATGAAGCAAATATTTTATGTAATTTCAGCGTGTATTGGATTCATACTAACTCAGGCCACAATAAGCATAAATGTTTTCAAAATGGTCATGTGTTCCATAACCTTCCCCCACTCCATAGATAGACTCCAACCCCACAAATGTTGATTTTATCTGTTGAAAGCTAGATGAAAACAGGGAGAAAATAGTATAAATATTTGGTGGTTTTCAGGTCACACCTTTTATAAAACCAGATACTGGCCAGAAAGTTTTGGTTTTCCAGTTGAATCAACTGAGCTGATATAGGGCCCATCCCTTTGTGCTCCTATCACCCTCCAATTCTTGTCTCTATTATACATGCATTCCACCCTCTGGAAACAATCAGTCTTCCCTACCATTTTGGTGCTTTGGGAGTAAGAATTTTATCTTAATCTAATGCTTTGATGAATACTTGGCACACATCTGGCAGAGTTATTTGTTTTTCTTTTATTAGCTGTGTTACCTTGGACAAGTTTATAACTACTCTGGATATAGTTTTTCTTATCTGTAAAATAAGGGAACTGAGCTAGAAAGCTGACTTCAAACTGTTTTTCCTGGAAATGGGAAAAGAGAGGAGCGGATAGAATTAGCAGATATGACGCTGGTTTTTCCATTATCAGTAGGACAGATCCTCTGAGTTGTCTTACGTATTGAATTTTTATATAATAAAATAATCCCCAAATTAAACAGATTTGGAAATCTCTGGGCTAAGTGATCATTAAGGGTCTCTAGTTTTAATTATTTGAATGATATTATTTTAAAGCATCTTTCTGATGCTTTTAAATGTGGATTATACAAGCAGAAAGTAAAGAAAATTAAATGCACTCTGGGTGGTGAGATTATTCAGGGTTTATTTCTCTCCCTCTCCCCATATTTTCTACAGTGAATAAACGTTGCCATTGTTAACCAAAAATTAATACTGTTTTTAACAAAAAGACAAAGAACAATATGTACAATATATAGAGTTAAGAAAGACCTATGGCTTTTAAGAAAACGTTTAATTAAAATATACTTTAAAAATATTTGGAATATACAAAGAGAAAGAAGACGAGAGACAGGAAGAGAGAAACACAGACTGAAAAAGTACATATCATGGTGGGTTGATTTTTCAAAGTATGGTATTTTCAAATTATTTTATATAGATTAGGATATAAATTGTTACTTATTTCATGTGAACAAAATCAGCCCCAGCTTACATTTGTTTCAGATGCTTTCCATTCTTAGAAATTATTTTAGCAGATACAATTTACATTTGTTGAGTATATATGTTAAAGAGTAAGATTCTTAAAACCAATTTATGTTTTAATGTTTGGTCTTCAGAAAACTGAATAAAAGAAAAATTTCCATTAGTATTAATTAGTAAATGAGAAATATTATCACATACAGTTTAAAAAACAACTTTGTAACAAAAAAAATCAAGGAAATCCTTTCTATAGTTCAGTCTTCTACCTCTTGAAAAAACAATACGTAATATAATCTTAAGCATGTACTCACACTCAACCTAATATTTTAAAATTATCTCTAATAAGCCATTTTCTCAAATCATTCTGGCTTTTAAAGTCATCACTATTCAAGCTCTGATGAGCAGTAGAGCCAAAAAGCATTGTTTTAGTTTTTGCTGCTTTTAAAACCAGTTTGTTTTCCTGGAACCAGTCTGCCAAAGTCTTTTTGCAGTTCAGTAGTTAAGTGAGAAACAGATTTGCCATTAAAATGCACAGTCGTGCCATCTGCATAAAGATGTATAGAGCAGTAATGACATATCCATGTTAAATCATTAATAAAAAGAGAAAAGAGGAACGGGTCCATGACTGACACTGTTGCTTAATAACTGGAAGGAGAAGGAGGGGAAGAGACAGCCCTGTGAACAGTAACAGATTGATGTCTGTCGGAGCCATTTCTTATCTTTTGACAGCATTTGGGCTGGAGCCCATGCTCCCTACCTTCTGTAGTCAAAGCCCATGGTTCACTAGGCCAAAGCAGTTTTAGAAATTAATAAAAACCATCGCTTAATTCAGAATTCCCCTTCAAGAATGTATTCATTAATATTAGGTTGTCATGGAGTGACATATGAAGCCTTGGCAAGTTCTTCACAGGCTTTTCATATGTGGAACTCACATGTTCCCCTCATCAGCATCTTTGAACCTTCTGAATGCTCATTATTAGGATTAACCATGGATAAAAATAGGCTTCACTGCATGATTTTTTATTTCATTTTATATCGTATTGGGGGAAATGGGGTTTCCAGGGATGCTAAAGCAAATCATGAATTAAGTAATGGGTATATAATATAAATTTCAAATTTCAAAAATCTCTTTAAGAAGAAAAGATAGATAAATGAATTCCACTTTCAGGTAAAGTTATACCTTTTGACTTTCTCTCTTTTGGTACCAAAGTTGGTAAATGATATTTATTTTGATATAATACGTGAAGTTCCAGAAAGAATTGATATGACCCCTCTGGCCCTTAGGAACTAACAAGTTTAAAGGAACTCTTAACCCCCACCGCCCCCCAACACACATATGTTTGTATATATGTGTATAACTCACGCATCAAAAATATATAAAGGAGTTCAAAACTAACTTTGGCTGTATCATAATATTGGTATAAATTTACAGGAGTCCTGGATTAATGGGAGTTAAGATTCAAATGACACCAGTCTGGGGAAATTTTTTTAAAAGACATAAATCTAGGAAATTCTGATGTCTTGTGTTGGCAGTCTAAATTCACCTTTGACGATAGTTATTAGCTATTGGTCACTGTTGTGTAGTTCAATATTCAGTGGGACTTGAAGTGGGATAAAATATCCTTCTTGTGTGTATTTACAAATATTTCCTCTGGGATATCATAGACCTATGCTGTGGGGAAGACCATGGGGTTATGGCATGGGATCTATGTGTTAGTCTCCCTTGGAGGGACTAGTTGGGTGATATTAAGCAAGTCAGCCCTTTCTGCCTCAGATTTGCCTTCTATATTAGGAAAACCCTTTTAACCCTTTCATTCTAAAATTCTATGATGTTAACAACTATAGCGCAGTTGTGAGGTCCCTGCCTATTGTAAATGCTTTAGGAATGCTTGTCAGTGGGCTCCATGACAAGTGCAAAGCACACAATAGGTAAGTGGAAACCCTAGGCTTTACTTCCTCAACTGTTTACTCTGAGATCCCAATTATGTGCCAGGAATGTGCTTGGCATGGAGCGACAGTGAAAAGCAAAAGAAATCTACCTTTACGGAGCTTTTAGTTTGGTTGGGGACATTAAATAAGGAAAGAACTAAATGTATAATTGGCAATTATGTTAACTGACTTGGAAAAAGATACAAGAAGGAATTTAACATGGGCTAGGGGCTCAGGGAAGCCCTTGGAGAGAATTGACTTGTGAACTGAGATGTATAGTATAAGCAGGAGTCAATTGGGTGTTGAGTTTGGGAATTTGGAGTAGACAGTGCCAAAAGTGTGCAAGGCAAAGGAAACAGCAAGTGCAAAGGCCCCAGGCACACTGCAGAAACTGAAAGAAGGTTGGTGTCTCTCTACCTTTGGATTGAGGAGTAGGAGAGGTTGTAGGGCTAGGCAGGGGACACATCATACTTGTAGCCTTGCCTGTAAATCCAGTTTTAATCAGTAGCTGAGAAGTAGTTCTAAGAAATATGCCTAAGGATTCATGGAACACCTTTTCACTTCTGTGATGGAAAGAAATAATGTACTGTATGTTATCTTAGACATTTTGTTGGATTCATTTCCCTCTGAATAACCTCTCTAATGTCTCTAATGAAGGAGCTGCTTGCTTACCAGCACAAAGAATGCTGGGAGAGTTTTTTGATCACTAAAAATGAGTTTAGTAATAATAGTGAAACATGACAGTCCGAGGTTCAATAATGCTTACTTGAAGTTGCCACTTCCAGAAAAAAATATCCAAATCAACAACATTTGCTGATCAGAACAATGCTAAACTTTAGAATCGGCTGTTCTTTATTATTTTATTTGGCTGAAAGGGTAGACCCGAAACACATCCCTTAAAGTATCTGTAAGCTGCACATTCTGGAAGACTCTAGATCCTTGCTGCTCAAAAGATGGTCTGCAGACCAGCAGCAACAGCATCACTGGGAGCATGCTAGAAATGCAGAACCTCAGGTTCCACCCAGACCCACTGAATCTGAATCTGCATTTTATCAATATCTTCCAGGGGATTTTTGTGCACATTAAAGTTTAGGAAGCACTGCTCTAGGTCTCTCAATAAATAAAGATAAAATAATGTAGAAATTGAACATTTAGAGTAAATGTAAAATTAGCTTCCTTGTAGTTAATTATTGTTTTAATGTTAAAATGTCCTTAACACTTTCATAAATTCAAATTTAATTATTGTTATGGAAAAATGTTTCACTAGGAAACAATTACTCTAGGCATAGTGCCAAAAGTTTCAAGGTTTAAAATTTACTCAAAACACAACAAAATATTTTGAGTGTATACATATTTCCTTGTGGGGCAGAAATAAGCATGCTAAATATCAATTATCAATTATGGAAATTTCCTGTAAGCCAACAATGTTCACAGTAGTTAAAGGCACAGCAATTCAATGGTATGTTCTTTGTACTAAAATCATCATTAAATAATCGTTTAGCCTTGAAGAGCCTTACAGGCAAAATCTAAAACTATTTATGGGATTCATGTTTGAAATTTCCAAGAGTATTTGGACTTATTTGGAACTCACGTTTATATAATTAAAACACATTCTCAACAATTTACTTAACTAAATTTGGAGCTAGGAGCTCTCAATGGATGCATGAATCATGGGAGCCTTGCCAGATGTTTTGGAGTGTGGAATTCAAAACGCATTAGCAGTATGGCACGTCATGAAGTTTGATGCAAAACATTTCTTCTCCCTTTCCAAAAGCCTTGTTTAGTTTCTATTGTAAGGCATGAACTATGGTGACAGCTCATAGCTCTAGGGAAACATCTAAAATCCATAAGTAGCATCTACCCAGATAGTGGAAATATGAGGCAATTATCTACACCATCAATGTTATATAAAAGCCTGTCCATCCAGCTATAACCAGATAACCAAATCCAAAGTGGATATTTACCTGTAAGGTGTATTTCATTTTTATTTTATTTTTATTTTTTGCCTAACATTCTGCAGAAGATTCCCTGTCCCTTGCTCCATTCCCACCCTCCTTAACCTCAACAGATGATCTTTATTTTTTTTTTTACAGAGTAAATACAATCAATTAGAAAAATCTTCTGAAACATCCCATGTTTTCAGCACTACAAGGGTCAGAATCCCTCTGTGTTCTCTGGGGTGCTACTGTGCCATCTATAATCTTCCTTTTCTTATCCCTTTTCTTTGAATCTTTCCTTTTATCTTTCTAATGTTTCCCAGTGCTTAATAGCATCAAATTTGATAGAAGTAGTGGGCTTGTATATATAAGATGAAGGCTCTCCTCTCACACACCTAAAAACAAACAAACAAACAACAACAAAAAAACACCATGTTGTCTTCTCTTGGCCCTGTCTTCCCCTAAAGAGGCTGTTTGATTTTGTCCTTTCTTCTTTTCTTTAGAAGAATTAGAATTAGAATTAGACTTCTTGAAAAAAATAACACTACTCAACTCCTGTTTCTTCCTTAACCATTCCTTCCAACTCAAATGCAACGGTTGATGGTAATGTCACCAGTTACCTCCTTATTGCAAAGTTCAAAGGTTAGTTTTTCATTCCTCATTGTACTCAACTTCTCTTCAGCACTCTGTGGTCTTTTACCTCCTTCTTTAAATTATCTACTTCCTCCTTCTGCAGATTCCAAGGTACTACTCTTTTAGTTTCCATTCTAGTCACATTTCCAGAATTGGGCTCCTCCCTGTATTTACTGTCCCACTAACGAACTCAGTTTTTGATTCTTCTTCATCTCCTAATTGCTTTCCTCGGCACTAGTTTGTATTCATATCAGACCATTTTCTCACAACTACGGAAACAATCAGCCTTAAAAACATGATTTTTCTTTCTACTTAAAAATTTCCTAATGCCCCATTCATTACTTATGAAGAAAGTTGCCTTCTTGATTGAAAACATGAATGATCACAAATGGTGATTTATAAATATTAAAATGCTTTTGTCAGTATGACCCATGCCTAAGTAGTGGTGTTGGGAAGAATAAAAATCTATTATGGTAATATCTGGCATTCATTGAGTTTACATGTTGTAAGCATTGTGCTAATTGTTCTAAATGCATATTTTAATTCTCACAATAATCCTATAATGTCTTCTCACTATTACCTCATCTACTGACCAACAAAACTGAGAGTAGTGACTTTCGCTCATAGTCACAGAGAGTAAGTGTTAGATCTAAGATATGAAACTAGATAAGCATTACTTCAGATTCCATTCTTTTAGCCAGATTCCATGTGGCCTTCTGGTATAGGAAGGTCAGCAGCAAAGTCACCACATCCAGTTAGCGGCACCACCCCCTCCGACTAAAGGAAGAGGAGCCCCCATCTGGGCTCCATACCATTTCCTAGTCTACTCCTTCCCCACAGGTTTAGCTGTCTGCGTGCAAAGGGGACATGCCACCCAAAGCATATGTCTTCTCTTCTTCTTTTTTTTTTTTTTTTTTTGAGACGGAGTCTTGCTCTGTCGCCCAGGCTGGAGTGCAGTGGTGTGTGATCTCGGCTCACTGCAAGCTCCACCTTCCGGGTTCACCACATTCTACTGCCTCAGCCTCCCAAGTAGCTCAGACTACAGGTGCCTGCCACCACGCACGGCTAATTTTTTTTTGTATTTTTAGTAGAGACGGGGTTTCACCGTGTTAGCCAGGATGGTCTTGATCTCCTGACCTCGTGATCCTCCCGCCTTGGCCTCCCAAAGTGCTGGGATTACAGGCATGAGCCACCGTGCCCGGCCGCATATGTCTTCTAAGAATACTTGGAGTACCTGAAGCTGAAATTGCCTTCCTGAAAGACATTGTGCCAGCTTCCAAGGCATGCACAAGCCTCTTTACTGGATCTGTTCTCCTGGACAAAGACCATGTTGTCAGAGTCCAAGCCTCTAGCTGAGCCCAGGCATCGCCAAGGTGTAGGTTGTATGTCCCAGAAAGTGTACTTGAGGCCTCATGGGTGGGTCAGAGCTGGGGCTGCAAAGGGAAATGAAGCAGAATGCAGCCAAGGGCTGGGGATGGCTTTCTCTGCTCTACCACATTCTTGCACTGGAGACCAAGGAGTCTAAAAGTTTAAAACCTGGTCTTCCAGGAGGACAGAGAATATTTTATTGTATAGTTGTTTTGCCTGATTTAAAACCTTTAAATACTTATACCAATGGTATATGGGCCTAAATTGTCTGTGTCTGAGGCCCTGCAATTGTTAAGAGTGGGCCTAGTTGTTGAGTGTGTTTCTTTTCTTTTCTTTTTTTTTTCCATTTGAAGATACAGGAGACTGAACATCACAAAGTTTTTGTTTCATTTTTCCGATTCATATAACAATATTATGTAGCTTAGAAAAGTACTTTTTAGTATGCATAAGATTCACCTATGCACATAGAATTTCCAGATGTAATGTGCATAGGAATCACCTGGGGTTCTTGCTAAAATGCAAGTCCTGATTTGGCAGGTTGGAGGCTGGGCCTGAGAGTCTGGATTTCCATCAAGCTCCAAGTAACGCTGATCCTGTCCATCTTTGGACCACATTTTGAGTGTCAAGAACCTTCAGTACTTTTCAAAAATGCTAATTATTGGGCATCACCCTCAGAAATTTTGATGAATGAGATCTAAATGGGACCCAGATGGTGAATAAAATAGGAATTTTTAAAAAGCAACACAGGTGGTGCTGGGTAAGGTGGTCTGCAGCCCACATTTTCAGAACAAATGCTTTAGAACATGCTTCTCCAACTTTAATGTGCATATGGATTACTGGAGATTGTTACAAGGCAGGTTCTGGTTTTGTTAGATGTTGCACTTCTGATGGGCTCCCAGGTGATGCCATACTGCAGACCTACCAACCACACCCTAAGTAGCAAGACTTTAGGAAAACACCTTGGGCTCTTCATTGTTTGACTATTTTGAATCTAGTTTACATCACTGTGAAATAAGGGGTGAGAAGGTGACTTGGGTGCAGTTTCTATGGACAACATCCTCAATCCTTGGCTTCACAAATTTTATACAAATAATCTTTAAGGCCTTTGTGTGATGCCAGATTTGCTGATGTTATTTTTTAGGAATTTCTGCTCAGGTTGGGCTCTTCTTATATCACTGAAGTCAGTGACAACTGGTTTGATATTATTTGTAGATGTTTCCAAGAAGCACATGTGGCTTATCTGGCAACTTGAAACAACACTAACCATTTCAGATATTTAGACCAATGAGGACACTCAACTTAAAAGCTGAGGAACCAGTGTTCCTTCTTGGGATCCCACTGAGTAATACTGAATGCCTTGAGTGCTAAATATGTGTTGTGATTATTAATCTCATAAATTGGAGGTATGTAAGTGGATAATGCAAATGTGTGGGTTTCTTTGGTTAATCCATTTTACAGTCTGAATCATGATCTGTGGGTGGAAGATTTAGACTGTGCCTATTCACAGAGTTCATTCTAGTATTTGGAATCAAATTAATGACAGGCAGCTTTCACAGGGCAACTCACAAAGGTGAATTAAGGTAATTCAGGGGTGGTTAACAATGAAGAGCTTGACTTTCCAAAAGGCCCAGAGAACCCGAGAAAGTTCACGTTTAACATGCATGAACAGTGGAGGCAAAATCCTTGACATTGAATGTAGTTTCTTTAAAGTTTGTTAGATTCAGTTAGTTATTTGGGACACTTAATACAGAAATTGTGAAATACCTTGAATGGTGCTGCAAATTTTAATATCTCCTTATACCTGCCTGCTTTTAACTACTAGAGAACACACAAAAGGTTCATGCGTCATTAAAACACACACACACAAAATGAGGGAATTGCATTAAAGAACTCTATAATTAAGCCAATAATTCAAGCTCCTTGGAGTATTTGAAGTTTTCTTTTCTACAATAATTCATAAAGTAGTCAGACCTACCTCTTCATCCGAGTATTAATTTATTGAAATAATAATAAACCAATAGAATATACTGATTCCCATATTTTCTTTTGAGGACACGCTCTCAAAAAATTCAAAGTGTCTTTTACTATTCAGTCACAAAAGACAAGATTCCCTCTAATTTCTACCATGAACATTTTGCATATTTCTGTACATAGAAACAAAAGATTGAGAGCTCTGGGAGTTATCTATCCCCCTTTCCCCATGCACCCATGTTCTCAACATGTGGTTCCCCAGACCAGCAGCACCAGCAAATTCTGGGATTTTTGTTAGAGATGCAAATTCTTGGGTTTCACTCCTGGCTTAATGAATCCAACACAGATATCTTATTTTAATAGCCCTCCAGGTGTTTCTGGTGCGTGCTCAAATTTGAGAACCACTAATTGATAACATTCCTTTCCAATTCAATTGAATTCAACAGGTATTTCTGGCACATCTCAAGAGGAGAAAGCAGAATCTTGGCCCAGAATAGATTTTGGAGAAATTTGATCGTGAGTATGTAACTTTAAGATGGTGCTAGGATTGCTTTAGCATCCATACAAAAACAAATATTTTAATTGAATTTATAACTAGAAGTCTTACTTTTTATTAAATCCAAGTAACAGGAAATAATTTTACCCCTAAAAATGGGGTATGAGGCACGATCTTTTTGCCCTCATAATGAGGGTTCTTTGACTGTAGAGGTAGGATCAGGAATAAGATCTAGAAAGCTGGCAAGACAAATGAACAACTTAAGGGTTCAAAGGTAAAATGAGCAAAGAATGCTATAAAAACATTTTAGAATGACCCATCTTGACAAGGTGACAAAGAAAGGGGAATTTGGGGAGGAGTAGGGTCATCTGCTGCTATGTCCTTCACTTTAGGGATTTCTCCTCTTCATCATTTTAAAGCATACCATGAGACTTGAGACATGCAGTGTTCTCTTCTTAAGTGACAGAAAAAATAATGAATGAAGGTGAGAGTTGTTTCATAGCATTAATGATCTCAGGAACTGCCTGGCATTGATTATTTACAGCATTTCACACATTTATATTTGGCACAATAGTATGTTAGTAGATTGCATGCTAGGAGCAGGAAAGGAGCTTTTCAATTGAATTTATTTCATGCAAGCTAAAAAGTTCACACTGATTTATAAATGTACAATGGAATAAGATTCAATGAGCCTTGATGAGACAAAGCTGAAATAATTCAGAGTCAGAAGCCTGAAATATTATAGGCAGTTTGTTCATCTCTGAAATCTCATACTGTTATTTAAATTCCTCCAAGTTCATTAATCCCATTTAATAGCAGCCGATGCAAATCCACTTGGACTTTTGGGAGAAAAAATATAATGAGCCATAATGCCTTACTACCACAGGAAATAATACAATTATTTTTGCTTTGCAAGAGGTCACAATTGAAGAGTTTGAGATTTTGAGCTGCCATAACTACAAATTTAGCAAAAAGTAGGCATTTAATGATAGAGTTCACATTGGCGGTTTAGGTTTTATTTTGAATGTTTGTTTTGTCTTAAAAACACTAATGCTGAAATGTTGTCTCAAATCTTTATTTTCAAATCACTTATTATATTACCATAAATTACATGGTGCAGTAAAGGCCAGATTGAAAAGAAAGCATACTTTACTGTCTCATTTTTCTATAAATAACATGACACTTTATGAAATAAGAATTATCATAAAAGTTTCTCTTTTTTTCTTTTATAACTCCAGTTGTAAGCACTGAGCTAATGGCCTTCCTCCAAGTAGCTCAGTGGACTAGTCCAAATATAGGAGTATAATGGGTAGAGGTTAACTGTAGGAAGTCTGAGAAAAACGGTAATCTATAATTTCACCACAATTATAACGTTTCCCTTAAATAATAGTTAAGTCTATGGGGTGAGTGCTAACAAATACCTTTTAAAGATGCTCTTATTACTTTCATTGTTTTGATGCTTTGGCATTCTCCACATGTGCCATTAGATGCAGCAAAAGACCCGGGCCGTGACCTACAGTGGTTTAGAGGTTGTGGGTGACAACCAAGCAGAGGGCCTCAGGCCATCATCTGGGGTGAAGCACACTGTTATCTCAAAGACCGGCTGTGCCACATTTACAGGAAGCAAAGCTAGCAAAGTTAAGAGACTCTTTGTCAAGATTAACTAGGCCTCCATCAAAGACTAACAGTAGAAAAATGAATGCTTGCCTCAACTGGGATGACTCAGAAAAAAACTTTCTTTTTTCCCAACAAAGAGGCAAGATAATGAAAGAAGCTCCAACTTCATGGGTATAAGTGGAAATCCTGTTATGTTTGCTTTACACCCTCCCTGCCTTTGTGAAAGGGAAATGTGTAAGTAAAGGTATCTGTTAGGTAAATAACCCAATGGGTCATACACGCAGCTGTGTGGAAATATCATAGATGGAATATACTCCAGGTCCCAAAAATCAAAGCAAGACATGCGAATTGCACATTTAGGACAAATGGTGAGCGATGAGTGGGATGAACATCCCTGTAATTAGGCCAGTAATTTGAAAGTCTGAGATGCATTGTTTGCAGGCTTCAAGATCTGTGTTTATCTAATATCTTGGGGACAAAGAAGGGTCTGGCTGGAGAAAAACCTTTCCTGGGATCAGTTGGCAAAGGGAACAGTGAAACACAGACAACCGTCCTGTGTGGATTTATTGGTATATTTCAGGAGAGTCCTTCTTCTGTTCCCACTGTCACACACTGTGCTATTATGGATTGTGATTAGGGATGGGCTCATGCATTATGCCAAGTTTAAAACCCACACAAAATTGCAGGGTTAGAGTCTGGAACAAAACTCCAGCTTCTTGGTGTGGAGTTTTTCTACTTATGGCAAAATGTGGCTTCCGGGAGGGTGAGTTAAGATGCCTCAAAGGGAAAAAATTCTTCCAAGGGAACATTTTGATAATTCAAGTGTAAATAAATATAAATCCAAAACACATTTTTAATTAAAGGGAAATTGCTTAGCAAAACATGTTTATATCCATCTCCCTTCTGCACACACTCACTCACAGTCCCCTCCAAATAAAGTTCAAAAGGGGTAGCTTTGGAAAGAGAGGGTTTATAAACCCACACTGGATAGCCTCTTTCAAATCACATAAGATTTATTAAGGCAATGCAAAAAAGTGTTGTTGGAAATCACAATAAATCATGTTAAATAAAATAGAAGTAACTGGTTATGAAACATATGTTGTCATTTCCCCACATTGAACATACTGAAATTTTAGCACTTTTATCTTAACAACATACTAAATGATCTTTCCACAAGCAAGTTTTCCATTTCTCAAGAAGTCCCTGTACTTTGACAGCCACAATTCCTCTGCATTTTCACCTGCTCTATTACCATTCCATCACACCCGAGGCACTTGAATTACTGTATGTGAAATATGAACATTTAGTTCTAGCTTTGTTTATTTTAAGCTTTTTTTTCTCTTCTTGTGGCTTTTGTGGTATCTTATGTTTCATAAAATGCTTTCAGGCCTATCTTCTCCATATATAGATATATAAAAATATGTATAATAAGCAACCATTCAGAGGGAAAGAAGACAGGAACAATGGGAAGGGGAGTATGTGAAAAGGAGTATTCAGTTATTCTCAAACATTTGTAGTATCTATCTATGGTCTAGTATTTTTTTGTTTAAACCTGGCTTCAAAGGAAACCTAAAGACACTGATCTGTAATCTCTTAGAGAGCTCTCACCAGCTACCTACAAGGACAAGCAGAATTTAGTATTTGTTTCACTATTTATACAAAAAGGGCAGAGGACATTTCATCTGTAGAAATGAAGTAATTAAGATAATACATAAAAGTTAGCCTTGAATTTTTATTCTCATGTGTGTTTTTACAATGTCAATGTCTTTCTCCTATCCCCATATAGATATCTGTCTCCTCCACTACACTGAACTCAAGAAAAAAAGGTGTGTCTTAGTCATTTTGATTTTCTCATTATCTAGCATTAGACCTGAAACTTACAGAAGGTGCCCAATTAGTGTGTTTCAAAAAATATTTTTTGCACATATATGTGTATGGGCATGCATATCAGGACCCATAGTGACAGCAAAAGAAATCTGTCATCTTTGAAATCTTCTGTAGTATGTAGGCTGTTGTGAGCAAAAATGCCAGAGTTATCTTTAAGTCTCATTAGTCAATCAGGTGTGTATTTACCCAGAATGTAACCTAAACTTGCACCAAATATTTGAAGATCTAAATTTAAGAGGTTTATGATCACCTTTGGCATGTAATTTGTGGTTTTTTTATTAATATTCATAATAATATCATCTGGTTAAGGTAGGCTTAAGATCTGATTTTTAGTTTTAATTATTAATGAGATTTTCCAGTAATAATGAGTTTTTAATATGCATTATAAAACTATTTTAAATGAGGCCAACACTTTTTTTTTTTCAATTTGAAAGCATGTGTAATCCAAAGGCAAAATTAGTAAATATGTCTGATTCACCTATCTGGATTTTGAATATTGTTTTCATTTATATTTGCATCCCAAGAAACCTGGTAAAAGTACATTTTTGATGTCTCAAAACTGTATTACCTTGCATTGAAAGAAACATAATAAATCAAAGAGTCATACCAAAAATTAGAGCTAAGTCTTTATTCTAAATTTTAAATTTCAATCTGCCTCTTACTTGCGGTGGAGAGGGCCTTTTCTACTGTTTTAAGGAAATATTTGGTATTTAACATCAGTTTGCAGAGAGGACCTTAAGCTTATACTTTTCAGAAAAAAAGAAAGCTATTTAGTTATCTTTGCCATTTAATGCTTACCATCATCACATTAATGAGAGATAGTTTAGCAATGGCAATGAAGACTTATGATTCCCTTTATTTAACTGAATTTCTTCTTTTCAGGTTAATGATTAAACACATTGAGTAGCACAATTGGGGGAAAATGAGATTTCCCAGGCAATGAATGGCCTTCTGATAGGATACAAATTTATTCTGAACAAATAAGCTACTGTATTTTCAATTGGACAATTAAAATATCACTTTACTTCAAAGGAAAGGGGTCAATAATTGAATGTCTTGACTGACTTCATATTTATGACTATTCTCATTATGGAATACAATTGGACATAGTTATAGTTTTATGTTCCTATGAACTGAACACATTCATTCTGCACGTGGACTTCACTACATGAAGGGAGTATTGTAGATCAGATGAATTGAAAGGCATAATAGAATCAGGTCAATGGCAATAAACCGTTCTTGCTAAATATTTAGTTGCGCTCTCAACATAACAAAGGTGTTCTTGGAGTATCTTTTGTTAGAACCACCTCCTTTGCCCCTATAGTTTAGATATTCACATATTTTCTGTAAAAGTATCTTATTTTTCTTTAAAGAACCTGAAGAGTTGGGAATATATACTCCTAATATCAATTCTAAGGGTGCAAAAAGCAATCCAAGTTTGTGCAAAAAATAAATTTTAGAATGTTGTTTGAAATTAAGAACTTGATAGTGCAATAAAATTGCAATCAAATTTGCTGCATGAGTAATTGTAGATGTTTGGGAGGGAGCTGAGGACAATGAACAAAACCTTGTAATCCTGCTGTGAAGGGTCCCTCCCTTAGTCATGTGCAGCAGTCGTCAAGCCAAGAACAGTGAGGGCACACTACAGATGCTAGTGTAGACACAGGGGGTTAGCTTTTCCATTTAACACAAACTTATATCTAAAACTAGACTTTGATTAGCCTCATTGTTATCACTATTTCATATTTATCAATTACCAGTAATGCACTTTATGATGAATGAGACATCAACAGGTCTTGATGAATGAATGCTACATATTTTCACGTAAAGGGCAAACTCAGACTCCTAACATTTGGTTAAGAACCATGTTGATGTTAGTTTTCAAGTATAATGCCTGAGGTCCTTGTTTAGAGATCTCCTTAAATCTGGGATTAAATAAGCTAAATTACCCACCTGCCAAATATTATGGTATGTATTGCAGGTACCATAGCTTTCTAAGGCTTGTTCCCAATTTACGTTTTTAAGTCCTAGAGCTCAGGAAGTCTTACTTTGGGGAGCAGGCTGGTATTAATACAAAGGAATTAAAAATCAGAAACAATGAACCTTAGTTTGATATATAAAAGACAGGTTTAGAAGAGCGTCACAGGAACATTTCATTTTTTCAAGTAGTATTTATTGAGATTATACTAAAAGTGATAACAAGACATTATTCGTGGCCTTGAAAATTCACAAATGAATGGGAGGACTTGGGAAATACAAATGTGTAAACAGAGAACTCTACTACAGTTTCACAGAAAAAGGGAATCGGGAATCATATACCCGGGTACCCCCAACAACTGGAGAGAAGTGAGAAAGAATAAAGAGAGGAAATTTTTCCCCAAGGAGGAATGTAGTTGGGTTGAGTCTTAAAAGACTGCTGGTAATTAGCTCATCCAAGGGCTGGAGATAGAGTGTTCAGAGAGGAGAATATGATATAAGCCAAGGTATAGAAGCAAAAGAGACCTCAGGATATCAGGTAACTTGCCAATGCTGCAGTAGGGTGGGACAAGCAGGGTAGTGGTCCCAGTTGCGACTGGAGCAATGAGGGCAATTGCAGAGGACTTTGTAGAATGCTTTGGGTTTTACACTGACAGTATTGGGGACTTTTTGAATGCGTTTAACTAGGTGAGTGCCATGATCAATTTTACATTTTTAAAATATTTTACCTGCACCCTGTAGAGAATTTTTGGAGAAGACAAGACTGGAATGATTGAAAAGGAATGATTGGTGCTTTAACTTACATTGAGCCATCACAGTCATTTATTGTCTCTTCAGGTCTAATTCTAAAACACAGTAGCACATCTGGGGACTGTGAGAAAATATGGACTACTGTCATGCCTTATCGGAATGCTTCCTCACTCAGCAATGGACTTATCTTAACCACGACTGTTCCAGCACAAAAGCAGATAATACTTCCTTTTTCAGTGTATGGTCCCATCATATGCTATTTGGCAAGTTACTTTGCTTCTCATTTCATCATAAAAATCATTGTCACAGCTTCACTACTGGGATTTATTATATGTTCTCTTGCTGTCACCATATATCATCAGTAAACATGGTCGTTCAACAATCTCATTATGACCAACAGCTATTAGTAATATTTATTTTACGCCTATAACTTGTCAAGCACTATGATAAGCATACACGTGCATGATGGTATTCAATTCTCCATAATGCTATGAAATAAATATTATCACCATACTGTCATTTTGCATATGAAGGAACTGAGCCTTAAAAAGCTATGTGATTTGCTTCCAGGCAACACCAGGAAGTGGCAGAGCCAGGATCGGAACCCGGAGCTGTTTTACACCACAGCCCCTGTCCTAGATATATCCTCTATAGAGGATATAGCCCTCTATATCCTGCCTGTTTGAACCTGTTTTCACTAACATTTTTTAACTTTAACTCGTTTCTGAAATATTTCTCCTCTGTAGATGAGACACTGTCTTTCAAATGAAAATATTTTAGCATCTTTAATAACATGTTTTAAATAAACTCTTGGGTATAGTTTTGTGTGTGTGTGTGTGTGTGTGTGTGTGCGCGCGCGCGTGTGTGTGTGTGTGTCCACTGGCCTTTTCAAAGTCTCTCTTTTGTTTTGCAACTTTGGCTTTATTTATAATTTAAATCTAGACATTTCTTCTTGTGAAGTCCATGCACGCCACTCTTGGGACATCCCTATGTTGCAGCAGAGGATAAAAATGGAAAATTCAGGGTCCTTAACTGGACTCTGCCTTTATAATTGCTTCTGTGGTGCTCTCACCACATTCCCAGATGTGTGAGAAAGACAGAGGGAGTAGTGAAGGAAGCGAAATGTTAAAATAAGGCTAAGCAAACAGTTTGCCCAACAGATGTTAACCCTATTCATAATTTAAAAGTTCCTATTTTTGTTCACCACTTAGACAATGAACATTTTAATTTCTCCTTCAAACACTGCTTGTGAACTAGGTTCAGAAAGCTAAACTCATTAATATTTCCATCAAACTTTGTCCCTTGTCATAGGTCAAAGAAACAAAAGGAGCATATTTCCTTTATATTTTAACCCTAGCATTATTATGAAGCCTGGTTAGGACTTAGATAATTTGTTTAAATATGTCTTCTTAGTTAATATGGTAACCAGGACTAGATTTAATCAAGATTGAATTAACCTATTGTTACAGCACAAATCCCATTGGAAAGCAATGCCCCAGAGTTATATTTACATAATTTTAAGTAGAATAATTGACACTAACTATGACTAGCTTCCCCCCTACCTCCAAGTCTCTCTTCATAGTAACCTTAGTCCCCAAAACAGAATTTAAGAGGCACTAAGAAACCTGGTGAATTTAGTAGAATGAACTAGTATTATCTCCCTACTAAGATATGTTAGCAGAACATTTATAGCTGTTTACAATGAAGAGAGAAAAAGAATATTTGCATAAACTTTAAACTATATTTTGACAAATTATTTACCTGGCAGAATTGAGTTTAAACATGCACATTTCCTAATCTCCAGTCCTATACTCAAACCTCAAGAAAATCACACTTCCATTCTTCTTCACAGGGTGGGTCCCTCAATTGCCCCCACACCATAAGTCCCACAAACAAGACCAGCTCATGGGGGCATGAAGACAAAGCTGACACAAGTGATGGTAAGAACAAACGGTGGTGGTGAAAGTCAAACGTATGTTGGAGGAGCTAAAATAATTGCAAGCCTGACGCTTGTGCTATAAAAGGGCAGTAAATAGAGAACAAAGGCATATGGAAAAGAACAAAGAAAATAAAACCCCTGAGAAAAACCAAAAGAACAATCCAATAGAAGATGAAAGCTCAGGATAAAGAGAGAGAACAGTCATTCAAAGAGAGACATTTCTGATCTTGTGTTTGTACTTGTAGACTTCTAGATTTTTTTCTTTCCTTTTTTTGTGGCATTCATTTCTTAGAAGTAAAAAGTATACAGAAACACTCACTGGCTTTCTATTTATTGAAGGACTGACACAGGAGAACTGAGCTGCTAGAGAGGGCAGTGAGTATTCTATTTATAAGCAGGTGGATAGGAACAGAGGCATGATTCTGTTGAGGATAAAGGTGATGATGTTTATGATGATTTCAAGACATTATATGGAATCATAGAATCAGAGACCTGAACATGACCTCAAGGACTAAACCTTCAAAGTTCTATATTTTACAGATGAAAGAAAAATAACAACAATCAGATATTTGAACTGAATATATTTACATATTGCTGTTCTAGATTCTCTGTCATTCTTTCAATTATGTGATAATCCTAGGTATGTCAGAGACACTAAGAGTGTTTAAATACTTAAATAGTTGGGGCAACATATTTGTTTGGCAAAATAATGTTTAAAAATTCAACAACTTTAAAATGTTTCTTTCAACCATATCAAATTTATATTTTCTATTTTTTGCCCTGGAAAATGTCTCGTCTTTCCCAATGAAAATAGCTTTACTTTGGAATAATTTGTATCTTATCTATTTTTACATCTTGGTTTCCAACAAGTCTGTGAATACGAATGCAATTATTTTTTCCTCTCCCATTTTGAACTTTTGGTGGGAAACTATAATTGTAAAGATATATATGAGGAAGTTTGGGGGATTTCTGGGAAGCTACAACATAAGTAACCTTTGTAACCAAAGCACTACAAATAGGAGTTTTGCTAACATTGTTTTGCAGCCACAAAATTTTACAGGCATAAATATTTTAACATTGACTTCTATCTGTAATGTTTATGGACTTAACTACCCATGAGAATAAAATCAAGTTAATAATCAATTTTGTTATACATGCTCTGTATCAGTTATTATATATTATCATTATATACCATAATATTAGTTATCACATATTGTAAACATATATTGAAACTAATTAGAATGAAGAAATACTGTAGATTTTTTTCATGTCTTTTATTTTTCTCATAATTTTCAAGCTTTAATACTATGTCTCCTTATGATTACAGTGAACCTCATATTAAAAGATAGATTTTGGTAACCCAGTCATTTATTTAATGCCCCTCCTCAATATAGATGTTTTTAACTTTATGGAATTTTTCCAGGGATACCAAGAGAGAGAAAGGTAATATCTATGGAACCAAATAGATAGAAGACTTTCCATACTGAACCCACTTGTCTCCTTATTGGTGTCCTGGGATAAGGAAAAGAAAATAAGTTATAATTTGACAACTCCTCTGAATGAAGATCTCAGAGCAAACTTTCATCTCCTCCTCAAAAAATGACATACCCCAGAAACCAAAAACAAACAAATGGGATATTCAGTAAAAGGAGTGAATGTGCTGTTTGCCTATTGATTCCCTGAGCTGGGTTGTCCCTGAGCAGAAGAGGGAAAAAACCAGCACGCACATATTCCACAAAAAGACCACATGATTAGTGATTTTGTTACTAATTACAATTAAGCTGAAATAGTAAAATTTTCTTTTGACTGGATAATGATGCGTCTGAAGGACATAGGCTGTCCTGAATAATCATCCTTCAATATTATTTTCAACTTAGCAGCACAGACTTTTTTAGACAATCAGGCCTATGTTCACAATGAAATTGAAGTAATTATAAAAGTTGTAAAAAAATCACCTCGAAAAATTCTACTTTCCTCCTCTGGGTTTATGAGAGAAATGTGAGATGGGAGCCGAGACAGGAGGGAGAGAGCAAGCAAAGAAAAAAGTGTTTTAGGTCATCAAATATTGCATGACTGCAAGACCTGACAAAAAGCAGAGATTTAGGTTCACATTTAGAATTTCTTTGGAATAAATAATTCTAATTCTATACAAATGAGATTTGTTTAGCAAAATGTCTGAAAATCTGAAGAATACATTTTCTGCATATCTGGGGTCTAAGAGAGAGTCACAGGTAAACATGCAAAGAAAAAATACAATGACCATCATTATACACATATATATACATATACACACATATATATTGATTATATATATGTGTGTGTATAAAATTGATTACTCACTTGATTTCATTTTCAGGGCTAAAGTCCATAAACATTGCACACACATACACACACACACATATATGTGTATGTATACTTTATATATATATGTGCATATATTATATACATATATATAACTTTAACTTTTATATAGTACTGATTTTGAGAATTATTCAGGTGGTACATGAAAAGGTATTGTTGATTCAGTAGATGGCAGTCTTCCCACTAAGCCATTAAAAACCATTGTGAAAATCACATTTTAAAAGAAGGAAAAAAGCTATATTTTGAAGAACGATACAGCTTCTCTGACGCTAGTTATTAAGATAACATATAATTTGAAAATTTAGAGTCTATGATGACATTACACAATTTAAATGAACTATTCCTAATATCAAATCAGTTACACGAGTTGGAGCTATTACTCTAATTATTAGAAAAGAATTTACAAGAAAGATGGAACTTTCTCCTACTCACATCTCTGGTTACTCACATGCTAGGGAAGAAAAGAAACTGATTGATTTAGGTCTCTAGACAATGAACCCAAAATATCATCAGCCCTCTAACCTTATATCCTCCCACCAAACAGACATACAAACAAAAACAAAAATCTGTCCTTTTACATTGTAATGTCCTACCAGAGTTTTAGAGGTAGGTACAGTGGAAAACTTTGGTCGACTCTCTGGAGAGTGATTATTTTTCCTACCACTTACCTTACAATCCTGAGCAAATTACTTTAACTCGAGATTCAAGTCCTCCCTCTGTTAAAGCAGGGATAATAAAACCACCATCCCAGGATTGCCATGAGGATAAAAAATAAACTTGTACTAGACATTTAATAGGAGTTTGTTTCCCTTCCTTTCCTATATGTTCTCCCTCTTCCTAAAAATGATCTTGGGAAGATACATATGTATATATTCAAATATGTAGACTTTTAGTTAAAGTGAATTAAAATTAATTTTGTTCTTATAATTTCAAGCTCTCTCTTGTGAAAATTGGCACTACTCTTTAAGGGATGTGGGCTCAAGAATCCAAAATCAAGTATTTTGTCACTATTTTAAATTATGTTTTTTCTTTAACGTATGTTTGCAGCGTACAAATCATTAATTATGTTGTATACTATGTAGGAGCATGTGCACAGAGTTAATCCTGTATAAAAATGACGTTTTACTTCTATTAAGAATAAGTTATTTAATGTTTAGTATTATAAAAGGAGAACTAAGATTAGATCTATTCAGTGTGGATACCAAACAATACCTTGGAAGTTATTGTTTCTTTTTATAAAAAAGAAAAATTCTACATATACCTGTTATTTTCTTTTACTCTTTTTTCCATGCAAGTAAAATACAAGGACTTATTGTTTGTACAGTAACAAATGAGAATTATAAAGCAACAGAATCCCATTGTTCCTAGGTCTACTAATATTTAAGCTTAATATTAAATATACTTCTGATTGCGTAAGCAGAGTAAGAATTTGTTTATATTTAATCGTCCATTTCTTCTTAATAAATTAAAAATAATTGTATAGCTTTTTGCCCAATGAAGTCACAGAATACTCAGATTACCTTGGTGTGCCTGGCCTCAGCTGTATCTAACGCAGCTGAGGTACAATTATCATTCATTCCATCGGTCTCTTCAATGCCTACCTTGATGCCTTAATGCTGAAGAGCACGTAAACCTTACTACAATAACAACCTTAGAAAGCTGATTTACACTTCTGAAGTGCAATTTCTCTACTATCTAAATAATTTGGATAGTTAATGAAAAGACAGTTCAAGCTCTGTTACTCTGAGGGTAAAGCACTTAAGATGGTCAATCTCAATGTGAAGGGCTGGGGGAAAATCGGTTTTTTTTTCCTGTTTTTTTGTTTTGTTTGGTTTTGTTTTGTTTTTTTCATGCACTTCTGCTGTAGCAGAGTGGTCAGGGTTACCTAGCACAGGTCTGCGACTCAGAGACACAAGCAGTTTCCTCTGCTATTGGGGACTGTCACCAATTCTGTATTGTTGATCAGAGAGCTAACTGCTTTACAGAATGTTGGCATGATTTTTTGTTGTTGTTTTGGGGTTTTGTTTTATTTTGTTTTGTCAAGGTAAAGTAGGTAAGAGTCATTGCTGCCAATACATTTTTGAAATTTCTTTCCTTAAAAGCTTTTCATGTCACTTCTCTAACTCCTTCAGCATCTCTGCTTTCAAAGTAAAATAGAGCATATTTTTAAAGAGACAAAAAGGTGGGACTAGGGGAAGCTGAAATACACATCTGAGAGAACAATGTTCATCCCACTTTCCAAAAGCCAACAAAGGAGAAGCGGGGAACTGTGGAAACAAAGGAATAGTTATTAAATGAGGTCAATGAAGCCTGCTGGAGGCAGCAGCTTCCCCTATTGCTGGCATTCTAAAAAATTCACCATAGCAAATGTAGCTGTCTCCCTTCCCCA
Organism: Homo sapiens; assembly: GCF_000001405.40. Classification (NCBI taxonomy): domain Eukaryota; kingdom Metazoa; phylum Chordata; class Mammalia; order Primates; family Hominidae; genus Homo; species Homo sapiens. The sequence goes on from NC_000002.12 coordinate 198,773,980, forward strand.
TCCCATTTCTTATCAAAATAGATATACTTCAAATGTGTAGTGTTACTCAACAATATTCAAGTCATGGGTCACTGAGAATGGTGAGTTTCTTGAATGTGAAGATGGCTTGTCCCTTTTTTCTCTGTATTCTCCACCCTGAGTACAATGCCTTACCCATCACGGGCTTTCCAAAAATGGCTGCTGAATGAATGAATGTGTGAATAAATGAAAGATGTTCCTGATCATAAATTCATGGGGATTTAAGTGAACTCGGAATAGAGATTGCTGATCTACTGAATCAAAATCCTGGTATGTGTCTGTAATGTGAGTTGCTTAACAATCTCACAAACACTTCACTGTCCCCAGATGTGACATGCAGTAATTTTTATCCACTTCTAAAAATCATTGATTTGGATTGACTAACCTTTATGAACCTTCTCTCCACTTAAAGCCTTGGTGACGCCCATTAAAGTGAATTTATCACAGCTCTTAAAACTATTCAAACTCTGGAGATGCCCTTCCAGCATTTAGGTCTACTGGCATATAGTCCCCAGATTTTCCAGTGCCTTTGCCAAAGGTGGGAAAGTATTCCATTATATGCTATTCTTGATCGCCAGATAATAAGTAGAGTTTGGCTGATAGTATATGGATACACAGCATTTTTAAGCCCAAAGCTAGCTTTGCTCACCTGATTGCTAATTAGGGTAAAGGCCTTGTTTCATAAACCAAATTTCCCATTGTGACTATTATGAGCTATAATAATGATTGATAACAGGATGTGACGTAAACCTACACTCTTAAACACAGGAACAAAGAAACACACCTAAGTAATCACAGGGAGATAATTAGTGCAACGAAGGCTCCCTTGGAAGCTTCTGACCCAATAAGAATGAGTTTGAGATGACTTTTCTGTCTAACCCAGTGGTTTATGCACTTTCATTCTCCCTTCCTCAGGCTTTCAATCAGACTACTTTAAAAAAAAAATGCTTAAATTTTTAATCTGTTTATTCCATTTATCTGCTTTTGAGACACTTTTATAAAATATGTATACATTTGTTATTCTCAGACACAAACTATTTCTTTTGTTTTTTTTTCTTCACCCATTGCTGTCAGTGTACAACAAACTATTATACCCAATAAATTTTTACCTTTTTTCCCGCAGCTTTAGAAATAATGCAATGGACCAAGAGAGAAAGTGAAAGTTTAGAATGTGTCAGAAAACGATGGCTCACTCTTTCTCATACTTCTCATTAAAGATGAGGTTGGAATAGTACACTTAACTCTCTTTTAGATTCTAAAAATTGTTTTAACTTATAATTTCAGAACCTTCTCACAAGGGGAAGTCATAGCTACTACTTCTTGTGTTGGAAATGCAATTTTATGCACATTAATAACCAAGAATGAAAAAAGGGGGATATATTTCATCATACCCTGAGAATTGGGTATGAATGAAAATAATACAAAATATGTTGTCTTGAGACCAGCAAATCATTCAGGAGAAGGTGAATTAAAGTAGGAAGGAGAGACAACACTCACTCTAGCTAAAGTCATACCTACACACATTTTACTGTGTTTGAATTTTCTGTTCAGTGTCATAACAACTGATGTATGTTGATCTACGGGTTGAGCTTAGATAAAATGCCCTATTTTCACCCTTCTGGATCTTAAAGAAAATTCACAGAATGATGGTACTAAGTTTTTTCTGCCATTGCTTTTCCTAGCTGTTACTATGGACTATGAGACAAAAGCAGGCAGGCTGTAAATAGAGACATTATCTTCACTTGGTTCTTCCAAAAATTAGAGTCCCCTCAACGGTCTTCCGAGTTAGAACTATGGCTATTCCATGCAACTGCTATTATATAGCCGTATGAAGCTGCACAGGCTGGCTTGGAAGAACCAGTTGAATGCTTTCAGGGGCAGAGTCAGCATGCCAATAGATTTCCTGGTATTGTTGTGGAACGTGCCATAGCTGGACAGAGCATGTTCCAGAGCAATGGGCATGTTCCATCCAGACTGCTTTAAACAGTTCAACTCACACACCAAGTGAGTGCCTACTAGGAGTATGAGTTATATTACCCTCGTGAGAACTGTGGTGTGCAAATACAGCATGAGGATTACTGACAGCTCATAATAGAAATTTGACTCTACTATATGGTTCTTCTTACAAATGGTACATGACACAACTTCACTCAACTAGTGTGAAAGCCGATTGTCCCCTATCAGCCTCATCATAAAGCATATGCACTAAGCATTATAAGCCTAATTAAGTGGTTATGGACTTTTAAAATGTTAATGATAAGTAACTCCTATTTTGATAGTAACTTTATTAAATGAAACTTTCTTAAAAATTTGGTTTCAATCCTCTCATCATCCAGTGAATCCCCACTACAAATATAACTATTAAATAAAATTAGCTAAGTAACACTGAGAAGTAAGGATACCTGATTATTAGGAATTACAGATATCTGTGCAAACTTAAACAGAAGTTACAAAATAGGAAATCAAAAGACTCATCCTTATTGTAAATAATGCATTAGCAGTCTTAGCAATAGACCCTGTACTTAAGGATAGAGAGATGAACAGTAATATTTGTCAAGATCTTTCTTGTTTGTTTTTGGTTTTAAAATATCTTCAAAAGAGCTGACTTGAACTTAAAATCCCTTGCTTTCCTGACACTGTTAAAAACACATTTTCACCTCACTTCCCTATTTACTCTACCATCCTTTTTAAAGGAAAAGTTGAAGATTAAAATTTTATATACTTTTATTACCAAGTTTTCAATACGTGTGGCATCTTGTAAAATCTATCAGTGGGTGCCCCACCCGTGGCTTTTTTCCAGCTCCAGATCAGTTCAGCTATTGTTATGAAGGGATGGCTAACTTCAGGGTAGACTAGTGTTCCCATGACAGCTTTTTTCGCATGCTGAATTTGGTTGATTTATATGGCTTAGAGCAAGATAGTTGAAGTGATCATGAGTTCTTAATAGGCCACAGACCTCGATACTCCACTTTCATGAATAACTTATGAAATTACCTTAGACTCTCTTCCATTGGAAAACAACATTTATTACGATACTTTATATGTGTTGACTTTTCCCAATTGCTGCTCTCTTCAGTTCTTTTCCTCTCAGAATTCTTACCTATTTTATAAAATAAGAAAGGTTAAGTTCCTTCAATAAAGCTGTAAACAGTTTGTGGATTGGATTCTTTTATGAGGTTATTGAAAGTTTGAACTAAATCATGTAATCAGCTCCCAGAACTTCCAGAAGGGTGGGGCCGAGTAATATACTACTTGCTAGCAGCATTCATTTATTTTTATAAAACTTTATTTCTATACACATTTTAGTTTGCCAGGGTATGTCATAATGTTCTTATTTTGAAGACTATTTGTAAGTAAGGCAACTACTTTGAATCTCATTGGGAACAAGTGCAGCTGTATGCTATTAGATGCTCCCATACAAATTAAATGAAAATATTTCAAATGTACATGTTGACTAAATAATTTGAAAGTTGTTCATAAAATTAGAAAATATAAACAAACAAACATGAGTTTCCTGAAAGCAGGAAGTTGTGTCTTACTTATTTTATTTTCAGCTCCTAGCTAAGAGCTTCACACCTACAATTTGTTATTATTTGCAGTTTGTTGAATGAATGTTCTCCCACTAACTACCACAGTGGTTTGTAGTGGTCCTCTAGTTGACTAGTTGAGTCCTGGGTGATGCTGTATCCCCTTCAGACACAGACTCAGGAGGGGAGAATGATCACTGTAGTTAAGTGGTTCTGTCCTCTCATATATGGCCCATTTCTAATCATTGTACTTACTGAAAACATAGTCTGATTTGAGCCTTTTCTCTTAAATTGTACTTGTTTTTCCTTCTGTAGAGACCACCAGTAATAAAGTTAGTGTTAGCAGTTTGAACCCTGGCTCAACCTCTTACTGTATGGTGAAGCATAATTTAGGTCCCTCAAGGGCTGGCACATCAGAAGCACTACTGCAGGAAACAGAAGGGCCAGTGTGAAGTGGCTGTGCCAAAGGAAGGGGCAGTATTTGGCAGAAGTAGCAACAATGCCCAGGAAAGACACATTGATGGGCCAGCTGTCAGCCTGTTGTCAACAGTAAGGAACCTTCACACAGCTTCCCTGGAGCTGGATGCCTCGGCACAGTACACTAAGGCAGTGGTTTTAACTTGGGCTGCACGTAAAAATCACCTGGGGAAATCTTAAGACATATCTACGTCTGCAGCCTCACCCAGACCCATTAACTCTTGGTACCCCCAGCGTGGATACTGCTTTTCCAGTTTTCTAGGTTACTCTAATGTTTAGCTGGGGTCAGGTACCCAACTCCTAAGGATACAGAGCAGAAGAGAAATGACACAGTGAGACCACTTCTGATGAGACTTATTTGTGAACACCTGTAAGATTATCTTCCCTGGGATACCCAGGAACTGGAAGTGACCTGGGAAAGAGAAGATGGAAGAGGGGCTGCAAATCCTGCAATGATAAGTTAACAAAATATTAAGCATTCATTTTTAAGGACAATTTTTACAGATGGACTACAAGTGTCATAGTGTCAAACTTTAACTCATGCCGATGTATGGAAGGCTGAGGAAATGTCAATCCTTCCTTTCATCTGCAAGTAAACCTTCTCAGCCCACATCTGCTGGGTTGAAGAACAAAATTGTTATTCCCAAGCTTAATACTTAGGAATTTCTAAATGTATCAACAGTTCTGAGATTGGATAAAAAGGCCCAGTCTCTCAGATAGCCTGCTCCTAACTCTTGATGCTTTTCCTAAGACAAAGAACAAGTGGATGGGTGGAGTGCTGTCCAACTGATCTCTGTCCCACTGGCCTCTTGCACTCAAATATCTGTTTGGTGAGCTAATGATCCATTCTTTAACTCAAGGGTCATCTCTTCTTCACCTAGACAGCTTCCCATCAGCTCTCCCTGGATGCAGACCTCAAGTCACAGTGTTTCTCCTCTGACTTAGTGGTTCCCTCTCTTGGTCACCAGCTAGCCTGCCTGGCCACCCCACTCTACCCTCTTCCTAGGTGGACCTTTCCAGTCATTTCCTGGCCCTCTTTCTTCAAGAGTTCCATTTGGAGAAGTCTATTGGGTGTCCTTTCTTCTCCAGGTTCTGCCCGTCAATCCCATAGAGCCACAGTAGAGAAAAAAGAAATCAGAACAGATATTTGATAACTTTCTCTCATTTCTCTCTCTTCTCTTTCACAGACTTACTCTGTGGTAGGCAGACACAGGATTGATTTTCTCCCTTATACCACCCCTCTCTAGAAGAGCAGCTGTAGGCAATTTTTTTTCCTATGCTAGAGAGCACACATCTTCTTCATGGGTTGCAACGGGATGACGCAAATGAATTTATAAAAGTCTCTCTTAAGGCTGGGTACAGTGGTTTATGCCTGTAATCCCAGCACTTTGGGAGGCCGAGGTGGGCGGATCACGAAGTCAGGAGATGGAGACCATCTTGGCCAACATGGTGAAACTCCGTCTCTACTAAAAACACAAAAATTAGCTGGGCATGGTGGCGCATGCCTGTAGTTCCAGCTACTCAGGAGGCTGAGGCAGGAGAATGGCTTGAGCCTGGGAGGCAGAGGTTGCAGTGAGCCGAGATTGAGCCATTGCACTCCAGCCTGGGCAACAGAGAGAGATTTAATCTAGAAAAAAAAAGTCTCTCTTAAGACAATCTGGGTTTCTAAGGTATTCTCTTGTATGTGATATTTTAAATATCAGAAGCTGTATTTTTTTTAATTTTTCACTGTTCTGAGACAAATCTTTTTCTCCTCCAATGTTCTTAGGCAGGTGGAGGTCTCAGGACAGTCAGGAAGAAAGTAATATGCTAGGTTGGAAAGAAAAAAGAGAAAAGCCCCATCAATAAGTGTCAAACTATCATCCTCATTGCAGAAGTAGCTATCCTGACAAAGGCATTAGTTATCATTTTGGGGGAGGAGGGAATTTCAGTAGAAGAGAGGGCTTCATATTTATTGTTATTCACTAGGTGCCTACTGCATGCTGGACACTGCCAGCATTTGAGTCTCACCAGTATGGCTATAATAATATCCACTTTCACGGTTGTCCTGAAGATTAAATGAGAGAACGTAAAAAAGCACTCATCCCAGTAGCTGTCACGGAATAGGAGCCAGATTTATGGTAGAATTAAAGATATACTTATCCATTTCTTCACCCCCGCCTTTTTGTGTGTGTTTGTTTATAACTTTATTGTTGCTGCTGTTGTTGTTTGCTAGTTAGGACTGTACATCCCTATGTCAATTCTAAAATTTAGTAAAAGTTGATTTAGCTGGTATTTCATCGACTAAATGTTTGAACTCTCTGATCTTTCTACATATTTACAAGATAATTCATAGTTCTCAGTTTGGTCTTGCAAGATCCTGAGAGGCCTTGGGAATCTAAGAATAACTGATTTCCATCAAGTTTCATTTAGTGATAAACATATTAACTCTATTGTATCTCCTTGCAAATTAGTAATGGTCACAATTATTTAGGCCAACCAGAAAACGGCCAGATCGTGTTATTTAAAATAGAATTTGCTATACAGAACACTATGTTTTATTCATTTAAAATGGCTCCTATAAGGCTAGCTTTCTCTATTTAAGAAAATAAAGTTGTGACACAGAATCTGACTAAAGGAACTGATAGACTATAGAACACTTGACCTCTGAGTCACCAGTTCAAATGTGACCCCATATTGCTAACATCTGAGTGTCACAGCTAGCCTCAGCCCAATCACTGCAGGAAGAGAAGCCACATCATATGCACACCATATACCATGATCGTTGCCTGTTGTTCTCAATAGAAAAGCAAGGTTAAAATGAACCCCAGAACTTACAATTCCCTCCTATTGCACTTCCCAGAGCATTGTCTTAATCAAAACAAATGTCTGAGATTTATTTCCCAAAGGTATCATATACCTTTTTCATTGTATTTTGTTTCTAAATGAGTTTCAACTAGCACTCAAGATACTGATATTTTCGTTTCATCAAAATGTCATTGGCTAGGGAGAATGGTGTACTGTGTACACTAATTGCCCAATGTCATAAATATGAGTAATAATCATCATCATTAACATTCACTGAGTATCTATGACGTTTCTATGTAACATCTTACAAAGACTCCATGATTTAAAATGCAAAACAATCCTGAAATTTAGCTACTATTATCTTTATTTCACAGATGTGGAAACTGAGAGACAGGTAGCTTAGGTATCTTGTCCAAGAGCATAGATAGTGGCAAACTAAGGATTTTTATTCCTGCCTTTCTGATTTGAAAGCCATGTTACTTCTCTTATGTGTAAATATTTACCACATCTTACTTCCAGTGGCTGTTTCTTGTTTTTTTATTTTCTATGCATTTTTGATAACTCATTTTGCCTGGAGGAAGAGCAGCAAGCTGACTGTTAGAGTGTATTGACCAATCAACTACACTAAGATTGTTGAATCTAGTTTTATATTCAAGGTTAATCTAAAATTCGGAAGACTGATGTCTCCTTAAAGATAGTGTTTATCCATGTTTTCCTAGGGGCTTTTTCATTTTTACTAGTCATTTAAAATAAACAATTCATGGATAGAATATAATTATTTTTAAAAGTGATAAGTGAGGCAAAAGAAATAGGCTCAGAATTACCTATAAAGAAATGAACACTGGGGCCAAGAACAGTGGCTCACACCTGCAATCCCAGCACTTCCGAAGGCTGAGGTGCAAGGATCTCTTGAGGCCAGGAGTTCCAAACCAGACTGGGCAAGCCAGTGAGACCCCATCTCTGCAAAGAAAAATTAGCAGGGTGTGTAGCACATGCCTGTAGTCCCAGCTACTCAGGAGGCTGTGGTGGAGAAGATTGCTTGAGCCCAGGAGTTTGAGGCTGCAGTGAGCCATGATCACACCACTGCACTCCAGCCTGGGCACAGAGCAAGACTCTAATAAGAGAGAAAAGGAAAGAAAAAGAAAGAAAAGAAAAGAAAAGAAAAGAAAAGAAAAGAAAAGAAAAGAAAAAGAAACGGAAGGAAGGAAAAGGAAGAAGAGAGAGAGAGAGAGAAAGAAAGAAGAATCTCATGTTAATCACATAATGTTGAACTGCCAGATGATTTAACTTTTTCTTAATTCCAAGTGTTTTTATACTACTCTTTGGATGGATATGAAAATAAATCATTTTTAAAATACTAAATATTAATTTTCACTTTGAGAGAAGAGGTACTTTGTTTGAAGCAAAATCTACTGGCACTGATCTTTATGTAACAATTTTAAGAGTTCTTGGAGAGCTAATGTTCCATCAAATCAGTTTCCAATTGGTTGAATGAAGAAATCATTTGCCCGTTTGGCAATCAAAACCTTAAGAAAGAAATAATAGATGTATTTAAGATTTAAATTGCCTTTTTGTTTCTAAGTATTTTTCTCATGATTAGATCCATAGAATGCTTACTTATGCCATGGTGTATTCTAAAACAGAATGAACCAGCATCTTAGCTATAACCAGCATCATTAGTGTTATAATGATTGATTCCAATGTTTTCATTCAAGAACCAATAGTCTGAGAAGTGACCAAATCAAACAAAACTTTTTAGTCAATGGATCTTATTGGACGAATACTAACTATATGTCTCTGAGTTCTAGGTGATCGTACACTTGAATTTAAAGACTTAAACCCTTTTAGATTAAAGCCTTCCACCATGTAATTCAAATGTGGCCTAATACTGAAATTTGGTGGTGTATGGTAACTCTAATAGCTAGCCCATCTTAGCTAGAGGAATCTATACAAATCCATGGCAAATATGCACTTAGACCAACAGCAACAACCACCAACAAAAGAACACCACCAGGTTTATGAGGCATAAAACATTAAATTTAATAGGTTATAAACCATGATTAAACTACAAACATATTTTTATTACCCAGTTCATGGTGAAGAGCCACACCTGTTAGGTTTAGCTGCAGGGGCGATACCCACAAATATGAAATAGAATCAGCAGGATCTTCCTGTGCAGGGACAACCATGGGCACAGGAACCTGAAGCCCAGCCTTGCTGCCAATGCCAGGTAGCAACTGAAGAGTCAGCTTGTTTTCACCCTTCGAACTCTATAAGCACAGTAGGAGGGCACAGTGTCTAACAGTAACCCTATTTCCCCTTCTACTTAGAAAATCGCTTTGTTTTACAAATTTCAAAAGGGGAAAATATCTGATATAACCTTAAGAGAATGATTTTTTTCAGACGTCTGAGCAAAAATTTACAAATCATTTTAAGACTGGAATAGTTTAGAGAAACATTCCTCTACATTGTAGCACTTAGTAATGTATTCCACTTGCTGGTTTAAGTTTAAAATCATACTTTAAAGCTGGTGACCTGTAGTCTGGATATGATTCACAGATATGATTTTGTTTTTAATGTACTGGTTTCAACAGAAGCTCTAAAGTACAAAATCCTGATGTGACAATCCACTTGAGCTGGACACTGGCTGGGTTGCCACTGTTGACTATTCACGGGCAACCCATTCACCACCGTCCCTTCCTAGTCACCTTCTCTTATATGCTACTTTCCTGGAGACATGTGAATTTTCAACCTCTGAGTAAAATTGATGGTCCACAGAAGAAAGCCTCATTCTATTATGTAACTTCTTTCCCCACCCCATAGTTTCAAACTCTTTCTTATCATTTCTACCAGTACATCCCCCCACCTATTCCTTTCTCCACTTCAAAAAAATTAAATCAGCTTTACACTAATAGAAAAGTCAAATCCAGAAATCATATTTGGAAAAATGTAAGATACAATTAAAATAAAGAAACTAGAAAGATCACTCAGATCTCAGAATTTAAAGTTACTTTTAAAACGTTCTTGCCAACAAATCAGTGCAAGAATTATTGCTTTTTTCCAAAGAGTTAAATATTTTTATTTACTCAATAAGGTTTACACTAAATTTAGCATACTTTTCAGCATATGAGTTGAGGGGTTGTGGTGAGGCAGATAAATATCAGTTCATGCAGGTGAAATTTTTTTTTTTAATGAGTTTTTTTATTATTATACTTTAAGTTCTGGGATACATGTGCAGAATGTGCAGGTTTGTTACATAGGTATACATGTGCCATGGCGGTTTGCCGCACCCATCAACCAGTCATTTACATTAGGTATTTCTCCTAATGCTATCCCTCTCCTAGCTCCCACCCCCCAATAAAGCCTGGTGTGTGGTGTTCCCTTCCCATGTCCATGTGTTCTCATTGTTCAGCTCCCACTTATGAGTGAGAACATGCAGTGTTTGGTTTTCTGTTCTTGTGTTAGTTTGCTGAGAATGATGGTTTCCAGCTTCATCCATGTCCCTGCAAAGGACATGAACTCATCCTTTTTTATGGCTGGATAGTATTCCATGGTGTATATGTGCCACATTTTCTTGATCCAGTCTATCATTGATGGGCTTTTGGGTTGTTTCCAAGTCTTGCTATTGTGAATAGTGCTGCAATAAACATACAGTGTAAAAGCATTCCTATTTCCCCACATCTTCTCCAGCATCTGTTGTTTCCTGACTTTTTAATAATTGCCATTCTAACTGGCATGAGATGATATCTCACTGTGGTTTTGATTGGTATTTCTCTAATGGCCAGTGATGGTAAGCTTTTTTCTTCATATGTTTGTTGGCTGCATAAATGTCTTCTTTTGAGAACTGTCTGTTCATATCCTTTGCCCTCCTTTTGATGGGGTTGTTTGGTTTTTTTCTTGTAAATTTGTTTAAGTTCCTTGTCAATTCTGGACATTAGCCGTTTGTCATATGTATCAATTGCAAAAATTTTCTCCCATTCTATAGGTTTCCTGTTCACTCTGATGATAGTTTCTTTTGCTATGCAGTAGCTCTTTAGTTTAACTAGATCCCATTTGTCAATTTTGGCTTTTGTTGCAATTGCTTTTGATGTTTTAGTCATGAAGTCTTTGCTCATGCCTATGTCCTGAATGGTATTGTCTAGGTTCTTTTCTAGAGTTTTTATGGTTTTAGGTCTTACATTTAGGTCTTTAATACATCTTGAGTTAATTTTTGTATAATGTGTAAGGAAGGGGTCCAGTTTCAGTTTTCTGCATATGTCTAGCCTGTTTTCCCAACACCATTTATTAAATAGGGAATCCTTTCCCCATTTCTTGTTTTTGTCAGGTTTGTCAAAGATCACATGGTTGTACATGTGTGGCGTTATTATTTCTGAGGCCTCTGTTCTGTTCCATTGGTCTATACATCTGTTTTGGTACAAGTACCATGCTATTTTGGTTACTGTAACCTCATAGTATAATTTGAAGTCAGGTAGCATGATGCCTCCAGCTTTGTTCTTTTTGCTTAGAATCATCTTAGCTATATGGGCTCTTTTTTGGTTCCATATGAAATAAAGTAGTTTTTTCTAATTGTGTGAAGAAAGTCAATGGTACCTTGATGGGGATAGCATTGAATCTATAAATTACTTTGGCCAGTATGGCCATTTTCATGCTATTGATTCTTCCTACCCATGAGCATTGAGTGTTTTTCTACTTGGTTTTGTCCTCTCTTATTTCCTTGAGCAGTGGTTTGTAGTTCTCCTTGAAGAGATCCTTCACATCTCTTGTAAGTTGGATTCCTAGGTATTTTATTCTCTTTGTAGCAATTGTGAAAGGAGTTCACTCATGATTTGGCTCTCTGTCTATTGTTGGTGTACAGGAATGCTTGTGATTTTTGCACATTGATTTTGTAACCTGAGACTTTGCTGAAGTTGCTTATCAGTTTAATGAGATTTTGGGCTGAGACGATGCGGTTTTCTAAATATACAATCATGTCATCTGAAAACAGAGACAATTTGATTTCCTCTCTTCCTATTTGAATACCCTTTATTTCTTTCTCTTGCCTGATTGCCCTGGCCAGTACTTCCAATACTATGTAGAATAGGAGTGGTGAGAGAGGGCATCCTTCTCTTGTGCTGGTTTTCAAAGGGAATGCTTCCAGGTTTTGCCCATTCAGTATGATATTGGCTGTGGATTTGTCATAAATAGCTCTTAATATTTTGAGATACATTCCATCAATACCTAGTTTATTGAGAGTTTTTAGCATGAAGGGGTGTTGAATTTTATTGAAGGCCTTTTCTGCATCTATTGAGGTAATCATGTGGTTTTTGTCATTGGATCTGTTTATGTGATGGATTAGGTTTACTGACTTATGTAGGTTGAACCAGCTTTGCATCCCAGGGATGAAGCTGACTTGATCATGGTGGATAAGCTTTTTGATGTGCTGCTGGATTCAGATTGCCAGTATTTTATTGAGGATTTTTGCATCAATGTTCATCAGGGATATTGGCCTGAAATTTTTTTTTCGTTGTGTCCCTGCCAGGCTTTGGTATCAGGATGATGCTGGCCTCATAAAATGAGTTATGGAGGAGTCCCTCTTTTTCTAATAGTTTCAGAAGGAATGGTACCAGCTCCTGTTTGTACCTCTGGTAGAATTCAGCTGGTCCAGTGCAAGAATTATTATAACCACATCTCTGATAGATGGTTTTCCAGCCTCTTCCTAGTGCTAAAGAGTTAGACTCACAGAAAGGAATTGGCTCCACTATTTAAAATCTTTATATTAAAATAATATAAATAATATTTCTTTAACAAAATGTATGACTTACTATAAAAACTAATTTGGTGCTAGCTCAGAATGGTATATCTTCCTGGTATTGGACTAAGTATCATGATATCCTGACTGCAGATGATTTTTGATGAAAATGAGTTAGGAGCGAAATGAAGTTTGACTTCATATTAGACATGGCCTGGGTGCTTTTCTTTACATTCACTTTTTAAATTGTATCATTACATCTATTCTGAAATTAAGTGTTTACCTCATTTTTAGTGAAAGAACTGGATCTGAGATCTAAAGAAGACTTGCCTGGGGTCACATGGCTAGCACATTGCTTGGCACATTCTCAGAGGTGAATAGGTCATTTTGAGTAGTTTAAGTGAGTGGCAGAATCTGGGCCTGCCTGTCATTGTACATTCTCACACTACACTGTAATCTCTACTTAGACAGACAAAAAGAGCACTGGAGTGCTGGACATCAGAAGTCGTAATAATATAATCTATCTTTCATAATAATATGATCCATTTTAATTACTAGGCTGTTGCTGGGATCCTTATAAACCCTAATGAGACAAATTTGGGGATAAATGATACTCAGGCCTCTTATGCTTAATTTTTTTTTTTTAATTTATCATTATTTCTATCTCCAAAGGTCACATTTCCCAGAATTCCCTTCTTATATTGTTTTAGGTCAAAGCTTGCCAGTGAAAGGAGTGCAAGTAAGATGTGGAAGACAGAAGTGAGAAGCCTACATTTTTAGGCATTTGCAGCACGTCATATGGGTAGACATGATGTCATTGAAATGTCTCAGGCTTCTTGGGACTATCCACTTAGCTATACACACCGAGATGTTTAGTGGAAACTTTTCAAAGCCTTTTGAGAATTTCAGCAATTTCCCCATGAAACTTTTGAGAATTACTCAACATGAGTCTTCAGTAATGGTTTCTCCAAATCTCAGCTTGGCTTCCTAAGCTTCACTCAGCAATTTCCACATTGCTGCAATTCCTAACTTCCATATTGATCCCTTAATTCCCATAAAACATAGATTGGTTCTGTTTTTCTGAGTGAATCCTAACAAAACCTTGTCCCCTATCTCTTACCTCTCCAGGACACAGAGCCAACTTTGTAAAACCTGGAGCCACCAGGAAATGAGCCCACTAATGTGGACACTATTGGCTATTCTCCAATACCAGTTTTACCCTTATTCTTTGGTAAGAGAAGCTCTTTGCAAGTAAGGAGGCCCACATGAGTGATTTTTAAGTCAATGGAATGTAAGTGGAAGTGGTATAGGTAATTTTAGAAAATGTTCTTAGAAAAAGAGTTATTGCCTCTTCCTACTGGCTAGAAAATAATAATTATAATTCCAGGAGCCATTCTGGTCCCTCATGGAATTTTGGTTATTGAAGACTCACACATTAAATCAGAAATCTGAAGAGACTGGACCCCTGATATTGTAAGCCAGGTCTTTAAAACTAGATGGCTAACTCTAGGCATTGACATGAGAGAGAATTAAAGTTCTATGTTATATAAGACATTGATGTTTTGAAATTGCTGTCACTTGCTGTCATAATTTGTACTAACCAAATACGACAACCCTACCAGATATTTTAAAAACTATTAATGGGGTTAGAGGAAGAGAGAGAGGACTAAGTGGCGCTTGCAGGGAATGAGCAAGACTTTTATCAGCTGTGTCTTGTCCACTTGAAAACAAGAACATATTTTAACAATTGGCTATTCTAATTAAGAAGGAAGCCCAAGTCATCCTAAAATGCATGGAGCAGAATGAGAATGACTGATAGACTTATCTTCCTCCTAAAACTAGTGTTTTGCTCCAACATATATTTACTTATAATTTAGTCCACTATTTCCAGAAAATATTTTTAAGAAGCTTAGTGACATATATACAAGATAAAAAATGAGGACATTAGAAAATAAGATAAGATTGAGAAATAATATGCAAAATGCCTAGTATGAGCTGTGATCTGTATTTCACTATATTCCCGCGACCAATAAGTTGTTCAATAAATATGTTTAATAAATATGTAAATTCTGAGTAGACATTTGTGGATTTTACCTGTCCAGCTGCCTTATATCCCCTATTTTTTTTAAACAAGCACTTCTTGTCTTTAAGTAAACCCCTTCTCACATAGTTTAAGTAGGGGCTGACCACACCTCTGGCTCCTGGGTAGGCTTCTGATATAATCCCTGACAGCTAGAGTGCTACCTGGGGCTTTTGCTGGAGGTATGCAGAAAGAGGTATTCTCTCACCCCACCACAACCCTCAGAGTTGTTGAGCTGGTAGAATAGGAGCCTGCTCTGGGGCCTTTACATTTGAATATGAATGTGATCCTGTTTGAAGCTATTTAAATACCTGGACTTCTCAGTTATCTAAACCCGTGGCTGTCAGCTGACCACAATTTCATCCCCCAAGGGACATTTGGTAACGTCTGGAGCCATTTTTGGTTGTCACAACTGGGGGAATGGTACTATTGGCATCCACTCAGTAGAGTCCAGGGATGCTCCTAAACATTCTAAAATGCTCAGGATGGCCTCTTACCCCTCTAACAAAGAATCATCAAGCCTAAAATGTTGATAATGTTAAGGTTGCTTTCTGAGCCTTTCTGCACCAATCTATCTCCCTTTTTCTTCAAGTCAGTTTGAGTTGGATTTCTATCACTTGCAACCAAGGATCTTGACTACTATGGAGTGGATCGAAAATTGGATTCTTACTTCTTAGTAGCCAGAATAAAGCACACAATAGAATGAGCTAGTTTCTCAGGAGGTGCTAGCTATCCTAAGCAGCAATACTTAAAATGAATGTCACCCATGAATCCTCATAAAGGAAATAGAAATCTAGTTTTTGTAATTATATTCTGACCTTCTTGGAACTGACTAACACTAATAATAGTCTGTAAAGAAATATCACACCTTGCCAGTCATCAAGACCTTATTTCAATATGTTCATGGAGCCACCGTGTGCTGTTGTATAGTTTGTACACTACACAAAGGTGCACTTCCAGGAGACTCTTTCCTGATTTGCCTGCCCAGAGGGAGTGTCTTTTCTTATTTGCATAAAGACATCTTACAAGCTAGCGGTAGCTCTATGTGTTCACATGCATAATTCTAAAAGAAGCAGAAATGGTTCTGATCTGTAGTCATTCTAAGGCCATCACCTTTAACTTGTTTCAGATGAACCTCTTAGAATAAGGTTCGCTCTATCCAGAGGGGTAAGAACTGCCACTGCAGAGATTAACAAATGAGTGTGTGCCTCAATTGTCATGTGGTAACACGTACAGTATGTTGCTCAGAAGCAAGTGATGGCATGGGGATCTTTTTCCATAGCACTCAAAATGCAAATTTTTCTTCTGTTTTCTGTTAGTAAGAGCTCTTATGTAGGGAAGTATTTTTGTGCAAAAAGACTGTCACTTTCCAGCAGGAAAGTCTTGAAGTTCTTTCCCTTCTTGTGTCATAAAATTGATATAACTCCAGAAGACTGAATGATCACTGGATCAAACAAAGCATTTTGGATCAGATTAGGTCTATGTCAGATAATGTATTTGAGCACTTATTTAAGGGTGGGAGAATGAAATAAACGTTAACAAATTTTACCAGTTTCTCCAAAAATTCTATAGATGGTTCTCATTGGAAAGTACTTACAGACTTTGCAGAGAACAAATATTCAGTGACAGCACTCCATTGCTTTAACTGTAAAAAGAGTTACAGGGTCTAAGATAAAAAGTAAATTAATATTATAGCCTTGTGAATTTATGAATATTGACTTGATTTCGTAATATTTAAAAACATCACCAAGAATCCAAAAATTAATTTCTTAGAAGGATCAGTGTGTTTAGATAAAATGATATTTAATGAACTTACAACAGTTTTAGAATCCAAAAGTTCAGATTCAATTTTCATTTATGTCAGCTGTATAGATATTTGATTACAATTGCAAATCATATGATTGCAATTGAATTAAGGTCAAAACTCTATCTTAAACTAGATGTTTTGGTCAGGATAGACTAGATTATAATACAGTTACAAAATAGTCCCAGAATCTCAGTGGCAAAAACATTTTTTTGCTCTCTGTAGATGTGCAATAAAGGTTGGTATGACGTCGAGGAGCCCAGGGTCATTGAGGCTTTGCCATTTTGTACCTATTAGAACACATGAGCTCAGAGGGTGCTGGAACAGGGGGAAAAGAAAGCCAGAGTGTCCCCAAAGGACTTTCATGGTCAAGCCTGGGAAGTGGCATGCATGAATTCCACCCACGTACCATTGGCCACACTCAGTCATACAGTCTCAGTTTCAGGGGAGGTTTAGGAAATGTGGTCTTCCCCCGTGCTCAAGACAAAAGGAAAGGCCAGGAGCACCCAGTATTGTCTCTGCCACATTGGCAGAGTGAAAACATAGAGACTTTGCAGTTACATTAGTCTGAGTTTATTTCCTTTGATATTTACTAACCATGAAATCTCCCAAAGTTTTAGTTTTCTCACATCAAATGGTAGGTCTTATTATATTAATATTTGAATTACTTTGGTGACTTTCATCTTGACCAAAATGTTATCTTTAATTTTTAATTGTTTAATATTTTGTAGCAATACGTTGTTATTACTGATAATATTTAAGCTCAATGACTTTTCATTCAGTCTCATCTAGTTCTAGGTATCTGTGCAAGAAAACTAATATGTAATCAATGAGAACACAATGAAGGAAAACCTTAGTTAAGACACTAACTTGAATCAACTCAAGAGTTGTCAATCTAGCTAAAGGAGATGAGTTTTCTCTTTACCCCGGCTAATTATACAGCCTAAATTGTGCACAGATAGAACAGACTGTATTTGAGCAAATAGTTAAGTGTTTTTCTAACAGCATATACTGTATATAAATAATAAGCACCCCATCCACAAAACTCAGCAAAGCATTTTATATGATACTTAATATTCATTGTATCTATGTGTGTATGTGATTCTAAAGAAATAAACAATGCTAATAATATATATGATATTGTGTATGTATGCATATATATACAGATATAAGTACATACATACTTACATATAAATGTATACAATAGCTAAAAGTAGCTGGATTGAACTATATAGTACCTGAAACCTCTTCCATACCTAAAATGTGGCAAAACTGTTCTATGACGTTGGTTCTTAAAATTTTTCTGACTTAAGAAAACATATATCTCAACATATATCATTTTGCATTATTTAAGATGAACATTAAAGGAAGGTAAGAGTCTGAATTAGATTGCTCAAGAAGTGATGACAGCACATAATATTTAAAAAATGCTGACCCTCATATTTTACAGCTATTTTGATGTCATGTGTACATTTTGATTTACAAACTTATTCACTAGTGCTGCTTAGAAATATCTCCAGTTCCCCATGCTTTCTGGGTAGGATTGTACTTGTTAGCCCCTGTGTGGTGGAACAGGCCACATGACCAGTGGCTGTGAGCTGTGAGGAGCCATGTGTGCCACTCTGGACCAGGACCTTTCATCGAGAGTGCCAGACCCTGCAAAAGCTCTTTTTCCCTCAAACACAGGGAACAGCCAGATTCTAGCTGGTGGCTGCTCTACATTTCTGGCCCTTGAGTTACTGCAATCAGTGGACATGTAGCTTGAGTGGCAAATAAACCATTTCTGTTTCGAGCCACCGAAATTTGGGGATGGGTTACCATGGCAGCATAAGCAGCTTATCCTGTATAATATGGGATCTTGTGCCTGTCTTGCCCCTCGGTGGACCACCAATCCTCGTTCCATCCCTGACCTTAGTCTCATCACTGATTCCATGAATAGGGAAATGTTTAGTGGTACGGTGGAGGCCAAAATAAAGTGGGCCTGCAGCTTGGGCAAGAAATCCTATTTTACATTACTTAATGCTTTTGTATTTCTATATTAATATATTCATATTTCTTAACGTATTTCAACACTACTTAATATTTTAAAAGCTAAAGATTTTAAGATTATTATTAAGTAAAAAAACCAATCTGAAAAGGCTACATAGTGTATGATTTCAACTATATGATATTCAGGAGAAGGTAAAATTATGGAGACAGTAAAAAGACCAGCGGTGGCCAGGGGGGTGAAGAAAAAGGGCTGAATGGGCAGAGCGCACAGGATCTCTAGGGCAGTGAAACTGTCCTGTATGATACTATAATGATGGGAACATGTCATTATGCATTTCTCAAAACCTGTAGAATGTACACAGTTTACATTAGTGTTCACTTAATATACATTGGGTGATGATGATGTGTCAGGATCTATTACTAGAACAATTGTACCACTCTGGTGCATGGTGTTGATAGTTAGGGAGGCTCTGCATATGGGAGGCAAGTGGTATGTAGGAAATCTCTGTACCTTCCACCCCAATTTTGCTGTGAATCTAAAACTGCTCTTAAAAAAATAAAGCCTATTGTTGAAAAAAAAATAAGGATTTATTTTTAGGTTACCAAAAGATTACAAAAGTCATCTGAGCATATAGCTCATCCTTCCTGCCAGTCTTAATCTCTTAGGAAAAAAATATCTAGTTATATATAACTAGTGTGTGTGTATGTGAGTGTGTGTGTGTATGTGTGTCAGTATGGAAAATATGCTTGACAGTTTAAAATTCTAGTAAAATTATATAAACAAACAACCACCTATCCCCTGCCACCCACACTCATACATATTTGCACACATTAGTGTTGAAAAACAAGACAAGTATCTTCCTTGAACTAGAAAACCATGAGCAGTTCTGGAATGAGAGGAGATAACTGGTGTCAGATTGAAAATAATCCCACAGGTTTTCGTATAGTTAAAGACTTTAAATATAGGTAACAGCATGCCTAAGGGTGCTATCAACTTAGAGGTGACATATATGGTGAAGAAAAGGAGCTGCCAGAGTGATATTGGGATGATTTATTGGGATGTCATGATAAGACCAGCCAAGTGAATATCTTTCTGTACTTTCAAAAAGAAATGGTAGCAATTTGGAACAGAAACTGTAGGAGTTTAGGCTGAAGAAGTTTTGTGCCTGGAGTGGCGAAAATACGGATCATTCATATCCTAGAGATAAGTATCTGGCAAACCCCACCTAATAGTAGAACTACCTTTTCCCTAAAAAGAAAAAATCATTAAAAGCAGACTTTGGTAACATTTACAGTATTCAAACACAGGCCAACAGGGAATCTCAGGTACAAATATTGTCATACAAGCGAAAATCATCGAGTATTTGCGGGAAAAACTACCAAGATAATCAGTATCTGATTCAAAAGTAGAAGTGCTAATACCTGATAAACAAAGCTAATGAACAAAGAGAGAAAAATAAGTTTAAATAACTGTAACAAATATAAAAACACAAGAACAATAGCAACAATGAAAAACTCAGCTAGAAATTGTAGAAATTAAAAAAAACATGACTTCAAAAAAACAAAATCTCAATACACAGCAGCATTGATACAACCAAATTTATGGAGCTCAAAGATTAATCTAACGAGTTCTCCCAGAATATAGCCAAAAAAAGGGCACTGAAATTATAAATGTAAAAGAAAAAATTAAAACTTAGGAGATAAATCTGGAAGTCCTAATGTCCTTTGGTTAGGAGTTGCAGAAAGAAAGAAAAGAGAAAATGTAGTAAGCACTAAAAATAATTAGAAAACTGAACATTTGAACAAAACACAAGTTTTCAGAGCATAGGGGTCCAAGTGCTAAAGTGAATGAATGGAAAAGATCCACAACTAGACATATACAAAACAGCAATAATAAAGATAAAATGGTAAAACCACCTTGAAAGGAAAATAAAAATTATCTGCAAAACAAACGAAAATAAGGCTGGAAACAATTCCCAACTACAAAACTGAATATAATAAAGCATTATTGCTATAGAATCATGGTTCTTAGGAAAAATGCAGTACATAGACAAGCAATCACTGACATGTGAAGAAAAAGTAAAATATTTTTATACTTCAAGGATTCAGGCCATTTTGAAGGAATTACTTGAGAATATAGAGAATATACTACAGCACAATAAAAACTAAACTGGAGAGGAAATTTTGGATTACAGAAACAAAGGAAACAGTGATGTGCAATTTAAATACATTTCAATAAATTCATTTCAATAACAAAACTGTTATAATAATATATAATTAAAATCCTAGACTATATTAACTCAGTGTTTGGACAGCTTGAGTGGGGTAGAGTAGGTAAGAAGAGAGAAGGGAAATGAGCACATGCTCTTTCTTGTTTTGTCGAAGAAAATGATTTGAAGTTATGCTAATATTGAGTAATATTAAGAAATACTGAAATATAATTTAACTGAAAGTCTAAAAAATTTAACAATAATTACTGGGATGTATGATTGAGAAAATTCAATTAATAAAATAAAATGCTGAAAATTAATTAAAAAATTAATAAAAATGCTAAACATGGGTGAGGAGATGTCAACTGTTTATCACTGGTTTCTTCTGTCCACAATTTTTCCTCTTTTGTTCATTCAGAATTTGATTTAACTTACCAAAAAATTTTACCTCTGCAGCTCAGGTATCTCAAGGTGCCACCCAGACCAGATCATTCTCAAGCCTAATTATTTTCTTCTAGCCTTCCTAGCTTAGTTTTCCTGTTTGCCCACACTGTTTCACCAACTGTTATCCCTGATCTTTGAGTGAAATTCCAGTTTCCTTTCTGTGCCTCCCTCAAACTTTTGTCAGATCCCAGGTGTCCAGGCTGCTCTGGAAACTTTTGTTTCTCTTTTTTTCAAATTTTGGTGAATGTTTGGATCCATGGGTCACTCTTCTTAGACTTTTGATAGTGTTACCTTTGAAAACCATCAAGGGTTAAAAAATGACACGTCCTTACTGAAAATTTGATTACTAAATATTGAGTTTACAGGCTTGATACAATAATACAATCATAAGCCACATAATAATGCTTTGGTCAACAATGAACCACATAAAAATGGTTCCATAAGATTTTAATACCATACATTTACTGTACTTTTTCTATGTTGAGATATGTTTAGATACACAAATACTTACCATTGTGTTACAATTGCCTACAGTATTCAGTACAATAAGACGCTGTAAAGATTAGTAACCTTGGTGTGATATGCTAGACCATAAAGCCAAGGTGTGTCGTAGGCTATACCATCTAGGTTTGTGTGAGTACACTCAATAATGTTGGCACAATGATGAAATTACCTAATGAGCTTCTCTCAAAATGTATCCCCATTGTTAAGCAACACATGAATCTATTAAAGTATAAGAAAAATAATGAGAATAATAAAATTATAGAATTTTAAGTCTCAATATTTTGCAACCTGATAGAAATATAAACAACATATTGGGGCAGGTGGCTTCAAGAAAAGGAACCTAAAATAATGGGCCCTAAATCAGTTTGTAGAAAGGAGGATACTTTGATCTTCCCATATAGGTTTTCTTAATTATCAATGCCAGGAACTCTTACATCTTTATTTTTTATTTAAAATTGTCTCATTACTATCCTGATTCCTTGTTCCTAATCTGAAGCCTGATTTTAAAATTTAATTTAAACATGAGCAACAACACAGGGTGTCTTCATCAGTATTGAGCAATTTCCAGAACCATGTGGCTTTTCCTGAAGGCTTGTGGAGATAATCTTTGCTTAAGTTGGGGGTGTATGAATAGGAGATAGGCAATATCCTGGATTCGTGAGAGCTGCTCATATTTCTCTGTTGCTAATATATGCCAAACTGCAGCTTGAGACTAAAGTGCTGCATGCAGCTGTCACTATTAACAAATAATGAAAAATTATTTCTTAGTAGTGGCTACTTAAATAGTATTAATGTCAAAGAAACATAAATGAATTTTGAAAATTGTATAATATTCAGAAAATTATGCTAGATATCTGCAAAGGTCATAGGTTTATAAGACAGATTACACAAAGATTATATTTAAATTAATTGATGGAAAGAAATATACACAAAAGGTCTATTTCACCAGCTATATAACCACTGTTGCCCACACTCTCCCACACACAAAAGGACTAAGACAAGTAATTTTCACAGGTGAATCTAACCAATTACTTTAATAGAGAACTTCAATACTACTTAAGTTGTGTAGGGCTTAGGAAAAGATAAAAAATGAATATTACAAATTTTTGAATAAAATTTTAAGTATAATTAAATAAACACAAAGGTATACCTGAAAACTTAAATGCAAACTAGTTGCATTTTAAAACTAATTTTACTTATAGATTAAATTTTTCTTTACTTATACTTTAAAATTTTTTATTTTTACTTACACATTAATTTTTTTAAATTTATTTTCGTGGGTACATAGTAGGTGTGTGCTAATACTAATTTTAGTTATACATTCAATTTTTTTATTTTTAATTTTTGCGGGGACCTAGTAGGTGTATGCTAATGCTAATACTAACTTACTTATACATTAAATGTTTTAATTTTTAATTTTTCTGGGTACATTATAGGTGTATATATTTATGGGTTACATGAGATATTTTGATACAAGTATGCAATGGGTAATAATCACATCAGGGTAAATGGGGATATTCATCACCTAAAGCATTTATTCTTTGTATTATAAACAATCCAACTATGATATTTTAGTTATTTTTAAATGTACAATTAAGCTATTTCTCACTATAGTCCCCCTGTTGTGCTAGCAAATACTAGCTCTTATTCGTTCTTTTAAATTATTTTCTTTTACCCCAGGTACTAATAAATATTGAAACAAAAATACTAAATAAAATATTAGCAAGTAGATTCCAACCTAATATGAAAAAGATAGTACATCACTACCTAATGGATATTTATATGTTAAGAAAATTATTAATATAACTTACTATATTAAGACCTCAAAGAGAAAATCCATGATTATCTTCATAGATACCTAAAAGCAATTTATAAAATTAAATGGCCAAATCCTCCAACAAAATCCTAGCAAACTGAATTTAGCAACATGTGAAAAAGGATTATACATTTTGACCAAGAGTGATTTATCCCAGGAATGCAAGATTGGTTTGACATCAATCAATATAATTCACCATTTTAATAGAATGACAGAAAAAAAAAAAACCTCAAAAACAAAACAAAAGCCATGATCATCTCAATGGCTGTAAAAAGTGCATTTGAGGGTAAAGCTCAACATCACTGATCGTTAGAGAAATGCAATCAAAACCACAGTGAGATACCATCTCACACCAGTCAGAATGGCAATTATTAAAAAGTCAAGAAACAACAGATGCTGCTAAGGTTGCGGAGAAATAGGAATACTTTTACACTGTTGGTGGGAATGTAAATTAGTTCACCCACTGTGGAAGGTGGTGTGGTGATTCCCCAAAGATCTAGAGCCAGAAATACCATTTGACCCAGCAATCCCATTACTGGCTATATACCCAAAGGAATATAAATCATTCTGTTTCAAAGATACATGCACATATATGTTCATTGCAGCACCACTCACAATAGCAAAGTCATGAAATCAACCCAAATGCCCATTAATGATAGGCTGGATAAAGAAAATGTGGTACATATATACCATGGAATACTATGCAGCCATAAAAAGGAACAAGATCACATCCTTTGCAGGGACATGGATGGAGCTGGAAGCCATTCTCCTCAGCAAGCTAATGGGAATAGAAAACCAAACACTGCATGTTCTCACTTATAAGTGGGAGCTGAACAGTGAGAAGACATGGACACAGGGAAGGGAATAACACACACTGTTGTGTGGGCCTGTTGGGGGTGCAGAGAGGGAGAGCATTAGGAAAAATAGTTAATGCATGCTGGGGTTAATACCTAGGTGATGGGTTGATGGGTGCAGCAAACCACCATGGAACATGTTTACCTATGTAACAAACCTGCACATCCTGCACATGCACCCCAGAACTTAAAATAAAAATTAAAATAAAAAAAAGAAAATGCATTTGACAAAATCCAGCATTTTATCATAGCAAAAAAACTCGATTGGATACTTTTCCCCTAAAATCAGGAACGAGAAAGTGATGTTCACTCCCACGACTTCTAATTAAACATTTTACTAGAGATTTTGGCCAGGTCTAATTTTCCTGGGGAAAAAAAGGAAATAAAAGGCATCCAGATTGTAAGAAAGAGGTAAAACTATCTCTATTCAAAGATGATGTGTTCTTATATGAAGAAAATCTTTAGTAATTTACTAAAAAACTATTAGAACTAATAAAATAGTTCAGCAAAGTTGTAGGGACACAAGAACAGTATACAAAAATCATTTGCATTTCTATACATTTGCAATGAACAACCCAAAAAAGAAATTAAGAGAGCATTTTCATTTATGATAGCCTCAAAAGGAATATAAAACAATTTGAAATGAATTTAATTTAATAATTAATAATTTAAGTTCAAAATGTGTAATGTGAAACCTATGAAACATAGTTTAAAAATTAAATAAGATCTAAATGAATGGAAGGATATTACATTTTCATGGTTCAACTTAATCCTTTTTATAGTATCAGTGGGCTTCCTTTCAAAAAAACCTGATAACCTGATCCAAAATTCATATGGAATTGCAAGAGACCCAGAATAGCCAGAACAATCTTGAAAAAGAGTAACAAAGTTGGAAGGCTCACACTTTCTTATTTCAAAACTTACTACAAAACTAAAATCACTAAGACAGTGTGGTACTGGTATAATAGTAGACCTATAGATCAATGGAATAGAATCAAGAAGTCCAGAAATGTGAGAAAACGCTCATATTTATGGTCAATTGCTTTTTGATAGGGATATCAAGACAATTAAATGGAGGAAAGAACGGTTTTCAGCAAATGGCTAGGGTACAATCAGAAATTCACAGGCAAAAGAATGATATTGCACCCATACCTTTTATCGTATGTACAAAAATTAACTAAAAATACATGAAATACCCAAATGTAGGAGTTCTAACTATATGCTTAGAAAAAAAAAAAACATAGAGATAAATACTTGTGACCTTGGATTGGGTGATAGTTTCTTTTTTGTTGTAGTAAAACATATATAACATTTATCATTTTAACCATCCATAAATGTACAACTTAGTGGCATTAAATACATTATAATGTTGTGTAACAACCACTACTATCTTATATATACAAAATGTTTTCATTATCCCCAACAAAAACTCTGTACTCATTAAACAATAACTTCTCTTCAGCCCCCAGCTGTTGTTAACCTGTATTCTACTTTCTGTCTCTACAAATTTTCCTATTCTAGGTACCTAATAAGTGAAGCAAAACAATATTTTTCTATCTCTGGATTATTTCACTAAGCATAATGTTTTCAAAGTCCATTCACATTGTAACATATATCAAAATTCCATTCTTTTCTATGGCTAAATAATATTCCATTAGTATGTTTTTACTACATTTTTTTATTCATCTGTTGGTGGACATTTGGATTGTTTCCATCTTTCGGCTATTGCAAATACCATTGCTATGAACACTGGTGTACCAATATCTGTGGAAAACCCTACTCAAACATCTGTTGAAGTCCCACTTTGGATAAAAGTGGGATTGTTGGGTCATATGGTAGTTCTCTGTTTAATCTTTTGAGAAACTTCCAAACGGTCTTCCACAGTGGCTGCACCATTTTATATTGCTACCAGCAGTGCACAAGATTCCAACTTCTCTACTTTCTTGCTAAGACTTTCTTTTTTTCTGATTTTTTTTAAATCACAGCCTCCTTTATCAGTATGGAGTGATACCACATTGTGGTTTAATTTCCATCGACCTAATAGCTAATAATGTTGAGGATCTTTTTATGTGCTTATTGGCCATTTGTGTATCTTCCTTGGAGATACTCAAAGTTCTTCGCTCAGTTTTGAATTGTTGAGTTCATGATTTTGTAGACATGACACTAAAAGCATAAGCAACAAAATAAAAGATAGATAAATTGGACTACATCAAAATTTAAAACTTTTGGGTTTCAAAAGACATCATCAAGCAAGTGAAAACAAACCCTACAGAATGAGAGAAAATATTTGCAAATCATATATCTGATAAGGGACTTGTATCTGGAATATATAAAAAGCTCTAAGAACATAACATCACACACTGGGGCCTGTTGGTGGGTGGGCGGGGGGAAGGGGAGGGATAGAATTAAGAGAAATATCTAATGTAGATGATGGGTTGATGGGTGCAGCAAACCACCATGATAAATGTATACCTATGTAACAAACCTGCACATTCTGCACATGTATGTCAGAACTTAAAGTATAATAAAAAAAGAAGCTCTATCGCAGGGAGCCAAGATCATGCCACTACACTGCAGCCTGGACGACGATGAAGCGAGACTCTGTCTCGAAAACAAAATAAAACAAAAACAAAGAAGCTCTAACAACTCAATAACAAAAGGAAAAATAACCTAATTATAAAATGGGGCAAAAATCTAAACAGATGTTTTTCCAAAGTTAATACACAAAAGTCCAGTAAGCAAATAATAACACATTCGACATCACTAGCCATAAGGGAAATGCAAATCAAAGCCACAGTGAGATACCACACTGACTAGGATTACTAGAATCAAAAACTTCAGAGAAAAACAAGTGTTGGCAAGGATACGGGGAAGTCAGAAACCTCAAATATTGCTCATGGGAATGGAAAATGGTGCAGCCACTTTGGAACACAGTGTGGCAGTTTCTCAGATGGTAAAATACAGAAGTATCTTACAACCTAGTGTCCACTCCTAGGTATATGCTTAAGGGAAATGAAAACAGATATCCACTGAAAAACTTGTGCACACAACAGCTCACCTGTACCAAATGCAAATTTTTTCACGCTCAGTAGTTTCAAGCATAGCTCAAATAAAGAGATTGTTAGCCATTTAGAGCCTGCCTGCTTTTCAAAGCCCATGAAACTGCATTTAACGTCTGCTAGTCATAAATAAGTGCCTGTATTAAAAATATCCCAAGCCCCTATGCCTTTCAGAGTTCTTTGATCCTTTTTGCTGCTTAGGGATATCAGCTAGACACACAGTTTCCTTTATAATTCTGCTTTTCCCAGGAGTTCCCTTGCCCTGCCCCACTTCTGAGTAGTAACCATCACGTTGTAGTACCTGAACAGTCCCCTTGCTGTGAGGAAACTGTCCAATGCACATACTCGCCTAATAATGTCATTTGTCTAATAAAAACAAAACAAAACAAACAAAAAAAACCCTTGGCCTAGCACGGTGGATTACGCCTGTAATCCCAGCACTTTGGGAGGCCGAAGCGGGTGGATCACGAGGTCAGGAGATCAAGACTATACTGGCTAACACCGTGAAACCCCGTCTCTACTAAAAATACAGAAAAATCAGCCGGGTGTGGTGGCGGGCCCCTGACGTGAACCCAGGAGGCGGAGCTTGCAGTGAGCCGAGATTGCGCCACCGCACTCCAGCCTGGGCGACAGAGCTAGACTCTGACTCAAAAAAAAAAAAAAACACTTCCACACAAATGTTTATAGCAGCATTAGTCACGATAGCCGAAAGGTAAGAACAACTCAAATGTTCATCAGCTAATGAATGGATTAAAAAAATGCGGTACCAGCATACAATTGAATATTATTCAGCCACAACAAAAGAATGAAATACTGATACACGCCACAACATGATGAATCTTGAAAAAATTATGCTAAATGAAACATGCCAGTTACAAAGAACCCCACATTGTATGATTCCATATATATAAAATGTCCAAAATTGATAAATCTATGGATAAATAGAGTAAATAGGTTGTTGCCTAAGGCTGGAGGGAGATGGAGAAAGTAGATGTCTGCTAATGAATATAGGGTTTCTTTCTGGGGTGATGTTCTAAAATTGGTTGTGGTGATGATGGTTAGACAACTCTGGATATATACTAAAAAAATTGAATAGTACCCTTTAAATGGATGAATTATCTGTCATGTGAATTATGTCTCAGTAAAACCACATTTTAATTCAATAACTACTGTTGATTTAAAAATAACAAAAGAGAAGTAAAAGACTTTTGGGGATAATAGATGCTCCTTATCTTAATAACACATAAAACTGTACACTCTAAATATCTGTAATTTATTGTACATCAGTTACAACTCAATAAAACTCTGGAGAGATATGATCATATTTATTATAGAATATTATATAATTATATAATTATATAGTGACCTTGGATTGGGTGATGGTTTCTTTTTTGTTGTGGTAAAACATACATAACATTTGTCATTTTAACCATTCATAAATGTACAATTTAGTGGCATTAAATACATTATAATATTGTGTAACCACCACTACTATCTTATATATACAAAATGTTTTCATTATCCCCAGCAAAAACTCTGTACTCATTAAACAATAACTTCTCTTTAGCCCCTAGCCGCTGGTAAACTGTATTCTACTTTCTGTCTCTTTTTTATTATATAATTTTTATTATATATTAATTATGTAATATATAACTATATAATACTATTTAATATATTATATATTATATAATTATATAATACATAATATATTAATATAATATAATATGTATTATATTATGTAATATGTTATATATTATATTATCTAATATATTATATTGTATTATATTATATATTATTTTATTTTATATTATATAATTATATAATATAGAATAGTTATATAATAACTATTTATTCTATACCCATTTGTATTTCTAAAATTTTCACTATATGTGTTTCTGTGAAATAAAATATTTTGAAGAAGAGATTATACATAAAAAATAAGGAAACATTTCATCCTCCTTTCCTACAGGTTAAGGGGAGACAATTCTGTTTTTTCCTTTGGGATGAAAACAGGATAATAATGTAACTAAAATAAATATTTTCTTACTTATTAGAAAATTAAACAAAAATCTTAAGGATAAGACATGACAAGTGGTATTAAAAATGAACAAATATGTTAATATTTTTTATGGGAACACAACAAAGGATGGAATTAATTCTGTTCTGCATTTGGGCAAAGCTCCTGACCCTCAGCCTCAAAGCTTGATAAAATGGTAGGGGAGTCTGAGTGACAGGAAAAATAAGTCAAGGTGACAAGGGTACATTGGGTGTGGAAAGGGTGAGTAGTTTAGCCAGGCCATAGTATATCGGGGAAAAGGTAAAGTGCTTGGAAGAAAACAGCAAAGGTGCTTTTCAACCAGGTCCTATAGAACTTTCTATGCTATTCTCTTAAGAACCTGGACTCACTTCTTGGCATTCTGATCTTTGGAATTCTGTGAGCAGAGGATTTTCTGGATTAAAGTTATGCTTTGGGAGGATTATCAGGGGTTACTTAAGGACATAGAAACAACTAGCTCTCATTCATTAATTCATCTATTCATTGTACAAGTATTTGTTCAATGCTTACTATGAGTCAGGTAGCTCTTATATAAAAACTACTATATTATGAAATTTTTATGTATTAATTTGTTTTTCTTAATGCTAAAAGTAATATATGTTGCTATAGACAATTTTGGAAATACGCAGAATTACAAAGAAAAATGACTCATAATTCTACTGCCTAAAATAAAAACTAAGATTCTGATGTGTGCATATGTGCTTGTGATGTGTAAAGGTATAGGTAGATTATATTGCCGGGCTCATTCTGTGCACACACACATGTGCACGTACACACACATTCATGTATTCTACTTCATTGACTTAATTTTATATCATAAATTGTTTCTATAATTTCAAAAACAGTTACTGTTAAAATTTATGGAAGGCTCAATCTGTGACACGCTGTGAGAAGCACTTTTTATGCATCATGTTATTTAATACTTAAAACAAAAGTAAGACATCATTTGCTTTTAATCTCTTTTCACAGATGAGGACAGTATATTAGTGATCCAGAGAATAGTGGGGAAGGGATATAATCCTAGGAATAACTGGAGAGACTGGGCTCCTAACAAACAAGTGCAACTGTCTCATCAGCAACACAATTTCAATAACTATATATAACACTTCATTACCTGGATATAACATAAGTTACTTCATTGGCCTCAAATTGTTAGCTGATTATACTGTTTCAAATTACTCACTATTGGAAATATTGCTATAGTGACCAACCATGTACATAAATCCATTCTAAGGTCATAGCCAGAGCAACAGTTTCTTAGAAAGTTACTAGGTCAAGAAATAGAATTAAAATTTGTGAAGCTTAGTCCAAAAGAAAACTACACTCATTTTTATCTCATAATAACAAGCCCATCTTAGTACACTCCTATATGAATTGGCATACTCTTTTTTATATAAAAAACTTAATGATGTTTTCTTATCTTTTTTGTTTGTTTGTTTTTTAGAGATAGGGCCTTGCTGTGTGGTCCAGGCTGGAGTGCATTGGCGCAATCACAGCTCACTGCAGCTTTGACCTCCCAGGCTCAATCTATCTTTCCACCTCACCCTTCTGAGTAGCTGGGACTCCATGCTTAGATAATTTTTTATTTTTATTTTTTGTAGAGAGGGGTTTTGCCATGTTGCCCAGGCTGTTCTCAAACTTTTGGGTTCAAGCAGTCCTCCTGCCTTAGCCTCCCTAAAGTGATTTTTTTCTTATCTTAAAATGAATGCATTCTCATTTTAGAAAAACAATGGTAAAGTATAAATATGAACATGAAATATTCGGCAATTCTATAATCCAGAGTCAACACCTATTAACATTGTGGAGTTCTACTTTTTAGTTGGCATTTATATTTTTGTTTTTTTAAAATATAAAATATAAAAGTATTTCTGTATTTTAGTTTTTCCACATCTCATCCACATTTCTTGTCAGGTTGGTTTCTAACTAAGTTTATTCCTATTTTCTTTTCATCTTCTCTTGCCCTTTTGCGCCAGCTCTTTTGTTCTTATCTGATGATTTGAACAAAATCATTTGAAGGTGTCAAAAAAAATTTTCTAATTCATAGATTAGATAATTTGGGAAGTAATTTTTTCTTTTGAATGATTTTTTTGTCTAATATTTCTCAAAGGCCCCTTGTTGGTGTATTTATTTCTTTATTTATCCTTAAATGAGGACAGATGCACACAAATTTGATTTAGTAACAGTCAGAATAGATGAGCTACCCTTCATTCCTCTTTTCTCATTTCTCTCTCTTTATTCATTCATTTAACAAATACTGAAGTTTTCATGTGCTGAGCTTTATTCTAGTAATAGATAAGCTGTAAATAAAACAGAGTTCCAGATTGCATGGCACTACTTTCTCCTGGTGCTGAATGAATCCCCTTCAAGTACAGTGGAGGGCTGGCTGATTTGCTCAGTTTTGAGCTCAATTCCCAACACTTAAAAACATGAAGTTTGGTTTTGCTGAAGCGGTTTTATGCCACTGCCTCATTCTCCAACATACTTAATCAATGAAATTTGCATACATACAATGATGGTCCTAAAGTTCAGTTCAATCTGGGATCTTGAGTGCCTATGCCAACTTTCCAGATTTAAACTATGGAGGGCATCCAATGTCCCGGAGGTACTTGCTTCCCTTCTCCCTTTCCATCCCTGTAGGTTTTGGGGGTTGCAACTGACCATGAGAGTCAACAGTGGAAGAACTCTACCCTGGTCATCTCAGAATCCAACCTTCCACCAAGAGAGGATCAAATGCCAATTTTTAGGCATTTACAAATGAGGACAGTGTACAACAAATATCTGGTTCAACGAGTAATGAGGAGAAGATACAATCCAGGGATAACTCTAGAGACTGGGCTCCTAACAACCCGATGCACCTGCCTCATCAGCAACATGACTTTGGGAGCCATATAGTGCTCCATCATGTGGATTCGTTATAGGGTACTTGATCTGGTCTCAGATGATTGGCTGATTATAACTATTTCCAATTATATGCCAATATATCTCATGTCTCATATCGGAGGCAGAGAGCATAATAGAGGAAAATGTTTTCCTTTGGCCTCTTAAGCTAGAAGGAACTACACTGTGATGAAAAGCTTTATAAGTACCTGGCTTTCCTCAGTTCAGCATTGTTGTCTTCAGGTTAATGGGAATCCCTTCAAAGTTATTTTAAAAGCATATCCAAAAGTCTTCATTTTTGTTAGTGATACAACTTTACTTTTTCTGTGTCTTCAGAAGTATTTAAATAGGATTTGGAGAAAAATTTATTGAGGGGCTGCTTACTGTCAGAAGACGGGGCACTGATACAAATCTACAGTTTTGATAGTCCTTGCAAATTCTTTTTCTTTTAATTGAAATGTGCTTATTTTATTTTACTCCTCTTATGTCATAATTTTCTGTTAAATATTATATTGCAGAAGTTTCCATTACTCAAATTATTTCAATTGATGGGAGGAAAATTGATTTTTCGTAGGGATTATGATGTTCAAACATTATATCCAATTAGGAAAAAAACTGAGAGGAAAAGGTAAAAAACAAACCATTTATTTAATACTTCCTTTGGGATGTGTACTATTATTGATTCTCATCATTAACCCCATTTTACAGTATATAAACCAAGGGAATAAGTAATTTTTTAAGGGTCACATAACTGGTAAATAATGTAGCCAGAATTTGAACCCAGGTCTTATGGATTCTGAAATTCATACTTTTTTCACACACCATGTGGCCCCCTCAAGAATGTAAGAAACAAAAAGAATGGCTTGCATTATCACATAATAAACAAAATATTTAAAAGAGGAGTTTTACAGAATGAGAGATTTATGTTCAGTCTTTAGACTTATGAAAACCAAATCAGGATAGAAAAGTTGAGTCAACATGGGTTTTTGCTAAAAATTACTTAATTGGGCCCCTGCAGTTGGTCAGATTTCCTCAGTGATGATGACCTCATTCTATGGTGGAGGCCAGATTTTTAGGATAGCTATTCATTTTTCTCATGAAAGCATACTTGGTCCAAGAACCAGGTAAGTAAGCTCTTAAAACTTGCTAATGCATATTTATCTTCTCATTACTGTCTTACTGTCAAGGGCATTTATGCAAAGGTTGACAATATAATGAAAGGTCAAGGAATGCATAACCCTGGTTCTATACTATGTTCATTTAAGTGATTACTAAAGGCTTGTGTGTGTGCGTGTGTGTGTGCGTGTGTGTTGTTTTGTTTTATACTTCTATAAGGTAAGTTCTGCTTTCTAGGAGGTTCTGGGTTTTGTCATTTGATAATGTCATGGTGGGCAGTTGAGACAACTTACAGAACTTACTGAAAGTGGAGTTTTGTTTGTTTTATTTAAAAAAATACTGAAAGTTCTTCTTACCAAATCAATGGTAATGTCAAGGATAAAACAACAGCTGTGAGTTTAATGCATAAAATAAAGACTTGAAAACTATACATTCAAAGACAGGATCATTATTTAAGTGCCAATAAGATTACACGCCGGGACTGAAATAAATAAGCCATCATCAGTGACTTGAGTAGCAAAGTTTGTTTTCTCTGGGAAGAAAGCTTGCTTGCTGCTGCAGTCCTCCAAAGAGTTTAAAAGAGAATTTTCCAAAAGAAAAAGGTAACATGTTAAGCACCTCCTCATAAAGACATACAGGAAAAAAATAACTTGGGGCTTCACTTAGAAATAAAGTATATATATTGTCTTAAGTCAGTGCATGTGAAAATATGATTTTGGTTAGATTACTTTTGAGTACCACAAGAGCTGTATAGACATGTAAGCAATTGCATTGCCTGCAAATTGGTGCAGGGAAGTAGGTTTGTCCTCCAACATCTGATGATATAATTTAACTTGCAAAGTTTTAGAATAATCTGCAAGCCAAAGCAAAGAGAGATGGGAAACAAGTCGAATCTTTTAGGAAAGTTTCTTATGTATATAACAAGAAGATTTTGTTTTTATACTTTTTACTAAATTATAATTTTTGTCTAAATGCTCTGGTATAGTCTCAGTAAAAATATTGTTGTATATGTTTTGAAAAGATAAATTTCCCTTTGAGGAATACCTATATCGTGGAGTAGTTTTGAAGTGTGAGGACCTAAGGATTCCTGCTTTGCATTGTTAGCCCAAAGGAATGACAGGATAATGTATGAAAATGTTGATTCATTGATTTTTTCCCCTCACTCCTATAGAATAATCTTAAAGGGGAAAATGTTCTCCCATTGGATGAGAACTTTCACTAAACATGTCGTTAGGAGAAGCACAGGCTCAAAGCTCCCCTTTGAGGACAGGGCTAAACATGATTCCCCACCTCTTTTAGCTCCTCCTCAGAACTTTTTGATTTCTAAGAGTTAAAAGACCATTCCACTATTGCGTGCAATTTCTTTGTGGTCACTGACACTAATTCTGCAATTTTTGATGCTGGTGCTTCTGTTCATTCATGAGCAGGCAGTGACATCCATATCACCATCGTCCCCAGGTCACCAGTGATTATCAGATGTCATCAGTTATAAAATGTATATTCCTTTCAGAAACATTTCAGGTAGAAAAAAAAGTGCATCTTGGAATCAATAAGAGTACATTTTAACTGCTTGTTTTTTTTATTGCCTCTCCCTTCTACCACAACACCTACTTCATGAGAGAAAGATCTTTTTCTGCTGTAACAAGGACAGTATTTATATGACAGATAGTAGCATTCCAATAAATAGCTCTTAAATCAATGAATTAACAAAAAATGTCCCAGACTGAGAAAATGACAAGGGAAACAAAGCCATTAAGGAAACAATATTTTGCCACTCATAGTACAGGAAAATAAATCTGAAGTCGTCAAATGGATTATTGACGGACTCCTCTTACTAATTGTTTATGGTAATGTAATAAAGTCAGAGTCCCACATGAGAAAAACAGAACATTTTGTTTAATACAGAAAAATGTTTTGCTCAAATTAAAACATATATTCCAGAGTATAGACATATTTACCACTTCAAGATAATGTCTAGAGTTGATAAATTTTTATCCTTTCAGGATCTATTCACTCTTATTCTTTTGACATTATCCAATGAATCAAAAAGACCTTGAAATTCTTAACATACGTCATTAGGAAAAACTTGAACATACCCTAAAGACTAATTTAAATACAGGAGGGGGGCTACTAGTTGAGAGATCTAAGTGGTTATATTTGATTTATAAATAGGCTGTCCTAGATAAAAAGGAGCCAGGAATCAATGTGCCAGATAAAAGAGACCAGATGCTAAGGAAAGTAGCCCTATTTTCTAGAAAGGCCTCTTCAATAGAGACACTATGGGGAAAATATAGTTGGGCCTTGTAAGCTGTATTTGCAATCACTTCTCTGTAAATTGGGAAAAATCAAATGCCCAACTCACATGTTTTGGTATTGATCAAGTTTT
This sequence comes from Homo sapiens, assembly GCF_000001405.40. NCBI lineage: Eukaryota > Metazoa > Chordata > Mammalia > Primates > Hominidae > Homo > Homo sapiens. The sequence goes on from NC_000002.12 coordinate 198,809,712, forward strand.
TAATAACTGTAATTTAAATCTATCTGTGAATAAATGTGAAAGCCTCTATTTTCAATAACATTCTAAATTCCTGCATATATCTGGAATTTAGAAGAAGGAAAAAGCAGTTTCATAAAGGTGTAGGATCACACACTATCTAAAAGAAAACATTTGCAAGAATATGTCTCTGTGAATAATCTTACAGAAAATTCCCTTTAAATATCTAGTTCAAGTTACACATTACAAATCACATTACAAAACTTTTTGTTCTCCGTATGGATCCAGTCTCTTGATTATTAAGGACCATGAGCCCTAGCTTGAAAGTAGAAACTTAAATCAGCGACTTTATTTTTATTGCCAAACGGAGAACTGAATTCATATAATAAGAGAGCAGTGGAGATGAGACATGACAGAATTCATTAATGTGCCAAGGATGTGGCCAACTTGTCTACAACTAGTTAAAAGGCAAATACACAGATTGATCATTTTTCTTTCCAGGACTGTACGTCACAATACACATGGCCTGTTTCCTAAAACCTTCTGTCTAATGTTTAATAGATTGATGGAACTTCAAAAACAGCACTCCCTACAATCCTGCTAGGCAAGAGGGGACCTAAAGATACACTAGGTTAGAAGAGAGACTGTTTGAAATCTGAACTGGGAAGAATTAGGCTTTTTCCTGCAAATTTTCCCCTTTAAACTAAAACTTTCCGTTGGATGTAAAAGGGGCTGTGGCTTGAATCTGAGATTTGAAAAAAATGACTGATTCAAACCATTTTGATTTAGTTTTTATTTTTTAAAATATTTTATCTTCAGCTTTCTTTGCACAAAGGAGTTACTATGCTTATCAATATGGACCATGATGTCAAAGATGTGAAGGTCAGCTTTATATTCTCTTCTTAAAGAAGCAGCATGGAATGGTGGTTAGGAGTCAAAATCCCCAAGATAGAATGTCTGCTGCCTCGACAATATTAGGCAGAAAGCACAACCTCTGTGAGTCCCAGTGTCCTGGCATTATAATGGTACAACCTGCCTTAATTGCTTCCCAGGATTGTCTTGAAGAGAAAAATGAGATAAATTCACATGTAAACCTTTGAAATAAGAGTATTCTAAGGCAGCCCAAAGTGTAATTTTCAGGGGACTGCATAAAACATTATCTTCTTAGTTCTCCAGGTTCCTTGAAGGAAATTTTAGTGTATTATTCATTGAACTGAAAGTTAATAGGTTATATGTTAGTCCTTAATTGTTCATCCTTCCCTAAATGGTAGTCTTTAACTGTCCCACTTGCTGTTCTTGGTCAAATTACCTAACTTTTCCTGCCCTATATCTGTGTCTTCCATTGTCCCCTCTTTTCAGAATTTTAGAAGATTCTATGTGGTAAACCCAAAGAACGTAGATAAATTGACTGTTCTTTGGGAGATCTACATTAAAAATCATTAGATGCACTGCTAAGAAGTTTTTACATTCTCCTTCTGTTTACACAAACGCACAGAAACTGACATGAGCCTGGGGAACCCATATTGCCCTCCTCAAACTAGAATTTTAACCTCATAGTATTAGACAAAAAGAAGCACTGTCAAACAAGGGCTGATATTTTAACTTCTGGAGATGCCCTGAGCCACCCAGAGAGTGTCCTTTCATTACCTTCTGTCGTCTGCTAACCAAATTTGATTGGACTTGTGCAGAAGTTAGCCACAGTTTTTCAGTCCAGTGAAGACTAATTGGTGTGTCACATATCATTTCCCTGAATGACTTGCATTGTAAAGTTTACTGTCTAGTATGTGTGCTTTGAACTGTATGTACTTTTAAATGCACATGGATTTTAAATGATTTACGTTATAAAATTTTCTGCAATTTGCAAAGTAATTTTAACGTGTATTACTTCATTTGATTTTTGCAACAAACTCTCTAGGGCAGGAAATTCACTATGACTCCCATTATGGAAATGGAGAAACTGAATCAGAAAGAGTTAAGCAACATGTTCAAGGCCATATGGGTCAAAAAAGACAGAACAAGCCTAGAGCCCAATTTCCTAACTGTTGGTTTAGGGCTCTATCAATTGTATGCCTCCCGTCATTGTCCTTTGTTCATTAATTCATTCAATTATTCAGTCCTTGAAGTTTGATTCAAGTTATCCAATGGCAGCAAAGTAGAAAATGCTCTCAGAGTCCCAGCCCCTGGGTAAGTCATACTAGTGCTCTATGCCCCAGTTTCATGTAAAAATGTGAAAGGTTCAAATTAGATTATTTTTTTCCTTTTTTTTTTTTTTTTTTTTCCTGAGACAGGGTCTCACTCTGTGCCCTAGGCTGGAATGCAGTGGCTCAATCTCGGCTCACTGCAGCCTTAACCTCCCAGACTCAAGTGATCCTCTCACCTCAGCCTCCTGAGTAGCTGGGACTATAGGCACATGCCACTACGCCCAGCTAATTTTTGTACTTTTTATAGAGATGGGGTTTCACCATGTTGCCCAGGCTGGCCTCGAACTCCTGGGCTCTAGGGATCCGCCTGCCTTGGCCTCCTAGAGTGCTGAGTTTACAGGCCACTGTACCCGGCCCAAACTAGATGATTTCTAAAATCAAATCTATCCAGGGGTAGTGTATGAGCCATGTATTAAAACAATACAAGATTTGAATATTGGCCCTTCTGCTTCCTGGCTGTGTGATTTGGGAAAAATTATATAACCTCTCTGCTTATCAGTTTTCTCATAAGTAAAGACAGGGGTGTTAACATTAATTTTGAAGAAATCTTGTGAAAAATAAGTAAAATAATCTATGTAAAAGAAATTGCCAAATGGCAAGCACTCAATAAATGTCAATGATTCCTTTTGACGTTAACACTTGTCATATTCTAAAAGCATATACATTATTTTTAATAGCAGTTTAATCATTATCTATAAAGGCATTGCTAGCTTTACTAACTTCAGAGGGAAAGCATTAAATATATTAAACATCTATACGATCAAAAATGACTTCACTAAACATAACATTTTTATTAAGAGTTCATCTGTAAGATCTTAGCATTGTAAGATCATTTCCCTAAGATTCAACTCAGAAGACCATGGATTCAATAAGAAATGTGAACATATTTTAATATCCCCATCCTTTTCTTTTTAATAGGAATATGAAAATTAAATATAAGAGCTTTACATATCAGAGCAGATGGAATCTTATTGCATAGGTTAATCCTTTAAACCAGTAAATAAAAGGAGCAAGTCCATGTGGAAAAAATTATTAATGATCTTAAAAAAATGGAGCATAGATAATGGGTATAAATAATCCTGCTTGCCCAAATGTTTCTTTAAAACTGGAAAATAAAAGTATATAATTTATTTTTTAAATGATTTAGGCTTACTACTAAACAACAGCATCCTTGGAAAAATTAAACCACAATCATCATCAGAGACAGGGGTAAGAAGCCACATAGCTACATCACCAAAAAGAGCAACTCACCAGTTACAATGAATATGATGGTTTTAATTGCTTTCTGGCAGGGCTGTCAGACTACTAAGAAAAATCCTATAGACAGAAAAATCATACATAAGGATCTTTCTCTTTCTGTCTCTTTTATTACAAAGTAAAAAGCATTTGGGTAGCCTTTTTTAATTTTAAATTTTTATTTTTAACATATATTAATTCGAAGCATCGTTTCAGGTCCAGGTGCCATGCGGAAAATGACTGATGTTCCAGGGATAGGAAAGGGATGAATACTGGGAGACATCCAAATTATAAACATCTAAAAATCCTGGGAAAATACCCATTTCCTCTAAGAATAGATTCTCACTAAGAATCTAATTCTATTTTTATTTGTTTATTGCTTCATACATCCAAAGTAATATTGTAAGCAGTTTTCAAAAAAATATATTTAATACTTGACCCTATGAAAATAACTACCGATTTAATTTATATTTTGTTTGCTAAAAAAATATTAAACCCATGTTTACATTTATGTGGTTCAATCCTTTTATACTCTAAATATGTCTTTATGCAATACAAAAGGAGCATTTTAAATTTTATTTTTTGTTTTACTTTATAAAAAGTTAAGTGAAATATTTTACTTTAGAAAATTAGAAAGTGAGCTTCAGAAGAGAGTCAAATTAAGTTTTTATAAAGTTTGTCTTTTACTTTTAGAAGTTAGTGTTTATATATTGGTATAAGGACTTTAATATAGTCTCTGAGCTCTGTAGTATGCAACCTAATAAAATAAAAACAACTTAGGTAATATATATGACTGAAACTATCAAAGTAATCATTGAACTTCATATTCAGAAAATTTTTGTTTAAAAGCCATTATTCTGACACCAATTTTTGATTGCTCAGATATGATAAAGTTTCTCTAAGAAAAGCCATTCTCAAGATATTTCATTTCTGTTCTCCACTCTACATATATTTTTTGTACATAAAGTTAGTATTAGAACAAAGCAGTTAACCTTATCAAAATCTATTATAAATTATCAGTTGTAAGATGCGGAAATTCCCAAAGGTACTATCCATCTAATTTATGGTAAAGATGTGCCTCTTTGAATAGACTCCATTTTAGATCAAGGTTGAGCTAACCCTCACTTTTGGTCCTAAAGTGGCTAAACTCTGCAATAACAACAACAACAATAATAAAACCTCACAAAGCTTCTACAAAGAAACAGTAATAATAATAATAATAATAATAATAGCACCAGAAATACCCAACTTTGATAAGCAGTCATGTTTTAGTCCTCAGTTTTTCTTCTCCTTGCAATTTCTCAAAAGATAATGCCCAGAAATTTAGGCTTCTTGTCAGGGTCCTGCCCCCAGTGAAAAATAATAAAAACCCACCAATCTAAATAAGCCCAGTAAACTTTATTTATAATAATTAAAATGCCAGAAATAAGGGGTAAAGGTATGAGTAAATGGTGATGATGTAACTCCTTAAAACTTCCAGTAACAGTCTTGACCTTCAATTACTTGTATCAAGATAAGCATGATTATGATGATTTCAGGATGTAAAAGAGGAGAAAGTTATGCAAGTCATAAACTTATAGTTCCCATTTTTAAAATAATCCATGTTTTATTGGTTCATATATGGAGCCTAAAGCTGATTAGTTCAATTGATTAAAGATTAGCATCAGTGAAGCCAGAGGATCATTTTGGTCTTTGGAGATAAAAATTAGCTGTATTCTGTGTTTTGGTATAGCAGAGAGTAAAGTTAATTCTATTAAGGTATCTACAAGGATATGTCATTGGTTGGTCTCAGAGGGCAACAGGTTAAAGCAATATAAGTTGGTCATCACCATTACTAGAAATACAATTACCTTGTCTTCATGATAGTGGGTCAATGGCATAATCTTTGGCACCATTCAATACATATTAGGCAATTGGTCAACATTTGAGTAATTGCAAATATGAATTTTGAATGTACCTTTATAGTATGTTTATTTTATTTATTTAGCTCTTCTATATCAATTTGCTATAATTATATTTTTATCTAGCCCCTTTATATCAGTTGTGTTTTAATAAATCCTTCCCAGAACATATATCACTATATGCAAATTACTGCTTGTCTTACACAGCATCCAACATGGACATACTCTATTCCCAGTATGCAATTCAGCACACATGATTCAATAATACTCAAAGTGTATAACATTGAATGATACAAAAGAGCATTAGAAATGTTTTATTATGAAATTTTGTTAAAATTATTTTCATTTATTGTTCATTCTTTATTCATTAACTATTTATTGAGTGCCTACTGTGTGCCAAGCTATAACAGATCATACGGTGATAAAAAGACTAAGTTCCAACACTTCACAGCAGGCTCATAAACACATCTACTCCTACCCACCTTCAACAAACACAATGTTATTACATTATAAACCACAAATGGAGGAAAACTTTTCTTGAGCCTAATTGTGTCTCTAGCAAGCTTTATCATGTTATTTTGGGAAAAGGATTGAGCCTTACACATTACATACTGGAGTTTACAACAGCTGTTAAAAAGAAAAAGTCTCTAGTTACACAGCTCTGGCTTCTGTTCATTTTGTGATTATTATTATAAGTCAAAAGTCTATAGCAATAAAAATGACATCAACAGGAACAACAATAACCATAATATACACCAAATATTGTCTACAGCTATATTAACAGTGCATATTCATTGCAGGAGAGTGGGTGGAAGACTTGGGGACTAGCTGACTCAATAAAAGGAACAAATCATAGTAGCCTTTCAACTTCCACCGGGTCATACGGCACCCGGAGGTGAAATTAAAATCGGTTTACAACCTGAAAAATGAACTTCAAGTCATGGATTAGAAGATTAGTCAATGCTGTGTTAAGGAAAGATTAAAAAAAGAAAAAAACTGTTCAGGCCATAAAGAGGTCATGACACTTTATTATCATAAACAAAAATTTAACAATCAATTTTTTTTTGCTAAAGTAAGCAGCATATCAGGCCAATAAAGAATGGCAAATGATATCTGTGTACCTGAGCAGTGAATGTTTTACTGTATTTTGGGGACGAAAATAACATAAAAAAAGACAAATAACAAAGTGAATTAATGGGAAAGTTTGAATATCTGAAAGAACTCTTAGATCAGTCATCCTTAAACGTCTATGTAAAATACTTAAACAGTTACCCTCAATGAACTTCAACTTACATATTTATAAATTATAAAGATATGGTACCATGCAAATATGTAATATTTAACATTAAAACCTTATACAAAGAGAGAAAAACTTAAAGGATTAGAAAAAACTGTACATAAAGAGCAATTCTAATATTTTCCTTCTAAAAAGGATTATATTATTTACACCTTGTATTCTGAGCATCCCACTTTGTAGACCACTTTGTAGAAATAAAAACAGGCTGAAGGCAAGCTACAGTCAGAAAAAACAGCAACTTAGCAAATATTACTGATGAGCAAATTCCATGAAAGGGTATGTTTTAAACTTACAAATACAGGATAACATTGAAAATCTGTGAATAGGAAGGTCCTGGTGTATTGATAAAAACCATACTTTAGCTAAATTCCTAAGAGTCACTGACAATCAGACAGGCTTATCCTTGAAAAACACCAAGAGAAAAACATGTATGTTCTCAAGCAATAATACTAATAATGTAAAAAATTCAAAGGTAAAATTCTCAATACTCATGTGACACTGAGCTATTAGAACAGTAAAACCTCATTAATGTTAACTCTTAAAACTCTTAGGATTGGAACTAGGGACCATTCAGCATTGGGGTTAACATTTACCTTCCTTATTCTTTCTTCTTAGGTAATATAAAGAGAGATTATGTAGAGAGTTGTTTTAAAGAACAAGCAAACAGATTACCTCTCAACACTTGAGAAGTACTCGTTTACATAGTGAAAATATATTTACTATTTAAACAGTCTTGTCTATTGATGACAGCAAAAATCATGCAACTTTTTTCTAGCCTAATTCAGCTACTGTGTGCATCTGAAAGAAATAAAATTAAATTTGTTTAAAGTATTATTTAATTGATTTTTGTTTACTAATTCTGCCCAGTATTTTCCATTTTATTTGAATTAATGAGATTTCCCTTATTCAAAGTGTTATAAATGTACACATTGTGAGGCTACTTGCATGTTTCAGTAATTAATAACTTATTTATTTACAAAATATTTGGCTATACAAAGGATAGTAAAAGATACATTTTAAATATTGACTCATTGTGGCCATCAAGCATTATCTAGAGCCACAGTGTAAATAACTGCCTTTGTTTTATCAGGATTCTATAAGTGCATAAAACGGAAGTGAAAATGTCATATTTCTCAGGATACTGAGGCCCCTTGAAGTTTTATGAAACCTTAAGTAGAAAGTATATAGGAAAGAAATTGTACATTCTACAATTATAAGTACTTGATCTTAAAAAAAAGTCATATGGCCTAAGATTAATGCAAAAATATTATGGACTGAGATTTAAACCAAATTGGTTGTGTATGCATTTACTTATCACCCAGTAGGCATGGCAGAACTCCATCTTATTATGTTTAAAAGTATAAATCTCAAATTTGTACGTCATATGGATGGAATGTATCCAGCAATAAATATGCAGTTTAGAGGAACCTTTGCAATGCTGTAGAATAATTTGGACAGCTGGTGTTATTGGTTGATCTACAAGGTTTTTGGTGTTCTTATCAATCTGCTCTTTTACACTTAATTTAAATTTAGTATAAATATTCACTGTCAAAAAAATTAAATTGGGGGAGAATGATCTCACATTTTAACTCAGGATACAAAACCAGAATATTAGCAGATGAATTACATGGATAGGTGAGTTTTTATGGTTCTAACTGGTATGGAGACAAAGAAAAGTGATAATTTGTTTTTGTTTATGCAGGCTAGATGAAGTTCCAAAATGCAAAATAAAATAAAAAATAAAAAAGAATCTTCTAGTTGCCAGTTCTGTGGCATACATGCTCTTTTTATTAGGAAAACTTGTTTAATTACTAATAACACCTAACATTTGTTGAGCACTTTCTACTTTCCAAAGCATTTACACATCTATTATCTCATAACAGCCTTAGGAGATTATAAGTAATTAAATATAGCAAAAGGCAGTTATGGTAGGTAATTTGGAGTATTATAAACCAGGCTTGGATTGATACAGGTAGAGAGAAAACAAGTCTTTTATCCTTTGTCTTTTACATTAGGAATATGGAGTCTTTGCAGCATATTAGTATTTGTAGTTTAGGAGCTGCTTATACAGTAAATACTAAGTGGTTGTATCCCTTGTACATTCCCTGGATATGTACCATTATTACTTGCGGTAGAGTTACCCTGATGTGGCTTCTGCAGGTCTAATGAACTGTTTTCTTGAAGCCCTAATCACAGTGTTTCTGTTTTTTCACCCAACACAATGCTCACCTGCACGACTATAGTCATATTAGACTTAGCCTTACATGGGACTCTAACTTAATTGCATTTAATTCCTTGTTCAAACAAGCAGCATTTTGAAAGTGCTTGTAAAGTGGCCACAAGATCTACACAGGAAAAGAACAAAATAACAAGGCCTGAGCATGTTTTACATGGATTCTGTCAAGCTCAAAGCAGGATCATATTTGGCCACTTCCAACATAGAGAAACATAACACACAATTGTATCCAGTGTGTGAAAAAGCAAGCCAACAGAAAACTTTCAGACCTTATCTATCAAATAATAAATGAAAAACAAGCTATTTACACATGTGAGGGCAGGTGGAAACATGGGAGGCCCCATCAGGAACTTAGAAAAAGCAGGTAGCAAACAAAGCCAAGAGGCATGCAAAGCTTTAATTTTTATTAAAAGGCAAAGGAAACTGTTTAACGAATTACACAGCTTAAGAAAGGTAAAAATCCTTCAGGCAGGGAGAGATGAGCCTATGGAAATAGAATACCAGTTCTACTCATACTCTAACACAAAAATATCTGTAGTTCTTTTCTAAACTTTGCTATATATATCACATCACTCAGCTCTAAATTGAGTTTATATGTCACATTAATGTAAATACTGAATATTTATCTAATCAAAATTATAGTATAACTGTATTGGGAGAATGGTGTGGGGAGACGAAAGGGAGTATATGTGTGGTGGGTGCAGAAGAGAGAGGGTGCTAATTCCTTAACAGTACACTTCTCCCATAGTGAGAGATCAAGAGAGAAAGTCTACAATAGAAAATTGAAGAACTTAAATGGTTTAGAGGAAATAATGAGGACAATAATAATTTAGGATAATAATAATTTAGCTCTTGGATTCTTCAAGTGCATGGAGTTTATATTTTTAATTTAATGTTTTTAAGGGTTTGGCATTCCAAAGGTTGTTTTAAGCAAGCAGGAGTTATCTTTGTTTTAAATTCTCACTAGATAAAGTGATATTGGTCCAGACACTAAATAATAAAGATTGGAAAAGGAATTTAGAAAAGGCTAATGTTTATATGGTAGTAGTTTGGCCTATCAGACCATAAAACCCACATGATTGTTGCAGAAGGGTCGAGGATTCTGGGAAATAAAATGATTTAAATAGTGATTAAAGATCTATATCCTTACTGAAAAACATTATTTATCACACTATAAATGAATAAAACAACAGACCTTTTAGGACTATCCCTCCCCAAAATTGGTATAACTACTCGGAGTCTATTTTTAAATTTATATGTCTCATTTAATATAATATTTTTATTCCTTCATCTAATTCTTCTCCTTTCTTGCTTTGTATAATGTATCCCTTGCCTGACCAGATGGCAGTGAATCAGCCAATAATCACGGAAGGCACATCGTAATATATTAACATCCTAATGACTTATTTTGCAGATCTGTTTCCAAAAATCACAATCAATAATAAAAATACAGAGTTGACCTGGAAACAAGACTGCATGATATGAAAATATCCTGGAGTGGCATTCCTATTGTCCATCTGTAATGAACACTGCACTGTACCTTACTTAACCAGTTTCCATGACCCAGGTCTCCCTAATAAAACTTCAAATTTGTTCAGGTAACTACTTTATTTGTTCAGACAAAGTGCCTCATGGGAAGCTGCCCCAACCTCCCTTCCAAAGGAGGGACGGGCTGGTCTAACAGTAATCACCTTTCCAGTAATTAGTTTAGAAATGGACAGATGATGACCCATTTATGATCAATGACACACAAGGAGAGGTTTGCTGGAAGCTTCAGAGAAAGTTATTTCTTCTGAAAGAGTAATGGAATCTCTCTCTCTCTCTCCCCCACTTTTTTTGTTGGTTTTGGCTGTTTTTTCCTCTAAATTATTCAATTTTTTAAAATTTCTATTTTAGACATTACCTGTTGAATTCCCACCATGTAAGAAGTTTAGGATTTAACTTCTCTTACTTCCTTGACCCTACCACATATGTATCCCTTATCACCCCCACCCCTCTTCCCAATAAGGTTATAACTTTGATTAGATCAACATTTGGTAGTTACTACATAAACTCAACTCAGATTTTAGTGCCAGGGGTGTGCTGGTAAACTGGTTCTCTGGAAAGAAAATAATTGTATAAGTCCCGATTGGTACAGTGTGCTGAGTCCCATGGCATAAATACTCCTGCTTTGTTCAATTTCAGGTTACCAAGGTCATTAAATGTAAAATTTGAAATAAATGGGCACATTCGGTTCTCATGAGTTCTTTTCCTTTGGGTTAATAATTGTCATGTTTGTATTTGTTTGCTTGCTACATTTTCTATATACTTACAAATGATTAAACAACAAATTCCCCCAATCATATAACTCTCTTCTAAAGATGTACAGGTATGTCAGATATTTCATCAATTGGATGTTTTTGAAAAAGGCTTTTCTGTCACATTGTGCTCTCATTGCCTTCTATGCCTGGCATGCCATTATGCTTGGATTTCCTTGCACTCTCATCTTGAGAATTCTCTTCCCCAGCTCTGATCCTCTATTTCCTGCATCCCATGTCTTTCTTGCTTTACTACCCCATTTTCGTGGATCACTTCCTCCAGTGGCTTCCTAGGAAAATTTCTGAGGCTTTGTATGTCTGACAATGTCTTTATTCTACTTTCACCCTTGATTGATAGTAGAAGTGGCTTTAAAACTCCAGTTTGGAAGTAATTTCCTTCAGAATGTTGAAGGCTTTGATTCATTTTGATCTAGCTCTCAATGTAGGTGTTGAGAAGTGCAATGACATTCTGATTGCTAATTCTTTGCATGTGGCCTGCTTTTTCTCTGTTGAATACTTTAAGTATTTAGACCAAAACATTTATATTTTGAGAATTAGAATGGATTCAAGGTTTCCAGTGGCATTCCAGTATGGTTTTCTGAGTAGAAGGGAAGAGTATGCAATAGTGTGTATCCTAGAGGAAATATGGCGGCCTATTATCTTAATGTGGCCACAAGAGTATAACATATGCAAATATGTGTGTTAAGGTAGGAAAAATAAACTTCTTCCAAAAGGAATTGATAAGAGACTTTCATCAATTCTATATTGAGAGGGAGATTAAAGAGAAGGAGCACAATAGTTTGGAATGAAAGAGGGGAAAATGTCTTTTCCTCTTGGCCTTGAAGAATTGGTAGTTTAAAAACTCTATTGGCTGGGCGCGGTGGCTCACACCTGTAATCCCAGCACTTTGGGAGGCTGAAGCAGGCAGATCACCAGGTCAGGAGATCGAGACCATCCTGGCTAACATGGTGAAACCCCATCTCTACTAAATATACAAAAAATTAGCCAGGCGTGGTGGCAGGCGCCTGTAGTCCCAGCTACTTGGGAGGCTGAGGCAGGTGAATGGCATGAACCTGGAAGGCGGAGCTTGCAGTGAGCTGAGATCATGCCACTACACTCCAGCCTGGGTGACAGAGCGAGACTCCATCTCCAAAAAAAAAAAAAAAAAAAAAAAAAACTACACGCAAAAAATACTATTAACAGGTTTCTATTATAGAAAATGATAAAGACAAAAACTAAAAATAATCCATCATCTTACCTCACACATATATTCTCTTAATGTTTTCAATAATACTTATAACAAAAATAATACATGACCTGGAAAATTCAACTGGTCACACAGGAATATTACAAAAGTAAAATTTTCCTCTCCCCAATGTACAGTCCTATCATTCACAGGATTTTATTTAGCTTCCTAAAAGAAGGTTAACAATATGTTTAAAAAAAAAAAACACTTAAAAGTTATTATTACCAAAGTTACAATGTCATAATAATGTTCTCCTCCTTGCTTTAATACATAATAATGTAATTCATCTTAGTTCACACAGGTCTACCTCCTCATCTTTCATGGCTGCATGGTAGTCCATTGTATTGACCAGAGGTCAGTGAAGTAGAACGTGTAGGCCAACTATGACCCACTGCTTGTTCTTATAATGGCCTGTGAGCTAAAAATGATTTTTGCATTTTAAAATGATTAAGGAAAATAAAAATACTATTTTCTGATAAGAAAATTATGTGAAATTCAAATTTCAGTGTCCCTATGTCAACTTTTATTAGAACAGCAGCAGCCACATCCATTTAGGTACTGTCTGTGGCTGCTTTTACACTTCGAGTGGGATGGTAGTGACATGGAGTATGTAGCCTACCAAGCTTAAAACATTTACTGTTTGGCCCTTTGGCTGACCTCTTGCATAAGCTATATAATCTATTTAACTCAACATGAAAGTAAGCATTCAAAGGGTTTTCAATCCTGCAAGTAGGTGTGTCCGGAATTGGTTCCTTCCAGTGGGTTCCTGGTCTCGCTGACTTCAAGAATGAAACCGTGGACCCTTGCCATCAGTGTTACAGTTCTTAAAAGATGGGGTGTCCAGAGTTTGCTCCTTCCAATGTTCAGATGTGTCTGAAGTTTCTTCCTTCCGATGGGTTCGTGGTCTCGCTTGACTTCAGGAGTGAAGCTGCAGACCTTTGCAGTGAGTGTCACAGCTCTTAAAGCTGGCGCCTCCAGAGTTGTTTGTTCCTCCCTGTGGGTCTGTGATCTCGTGGACTTCATGAGTGAAGCTGCAGACCTTCGCAGTGAGTGTTACAGCTCATAAAGGTAATGTGGACCCAAAGAGTGAGCAGCAGCAAGACTTATTGTGAAGAGCAAAAGAACAAACCTTCCACAGCATAGAAGGGGACAGCGCTACCGCTGCTGACTTGGGTAGCCAGCTTTTATTCCCTTATTTGGCCCCGCCCATGTCCTGCTGATTGGTCCATTTTACAGAGTGCTGATTGGTCCATTTTACAGAGTGCTGACTGGTGCATTTGCAAACCTTTAGCTAGACACAGAGCGCTGATTGGTGCATTTTTACAGAGTGCTGATTGGTGCATTTACAAACCTTCAGCTAGACACATAGCACTGATTGGTGTGTTTACAATCCTTTAGCTAGACAGAAAAGATCTCCAAGTCCCCACCTGACCCAGAAGCCCAGCCAGCTTCACCTCTCATAGGTAAAGGAGCAGCATAAGCATAAGTAAAGAAAATGCAAGTATTGGAACTAATCAGCAAATTGATCAGTGTGGATTTGGGTAGGAAAGTGATAAGAGACAAAGCAAGAAAGATAGGTTGTGGCCATGCCATCATTAGAATCCCAGGTTGAGAAATCTGCCTTTCATCTGGAAGGAAATCAATAACTATTGAGGATATTGAGCAGGAGAAAAGTGACATGAATGGGGATCTATTTTAGGAGATTAATCTGGTTGTATAATGTGGAATTAATGTAGAGAGTATTGCTCACAGGTTAGGAAACCATTTATAAGACTATTTTAGTAACCTATAAAAGAGGCCTTCTGTTCCTGTGAAGATACAAATTCTAAAGTGTAAATGTACTATTGAAATCATTTCTACAATCCTGAAATCAAAGAAAGTTGTCTGTTTCTTTGTATGTATACAAAGTTGTTTCAATATCACTTAAAGGTATTTATTTTTATAAAATAATACCAAGATATATCTTATCACTGAAGTTTTGGTCCACTGTCTTTCAGTACACCCAGCTATGACTTTAATATATGCTTTCCATGTAACAAACAACTGAAGAAACTAATTGAGTGACATAATAGTTGCTGAATTAATCTGGAGTATGGTATCTGATTATTTGATTATTTCTTAAGTATTACTTGTAAGCTTAAGGCTCAAAATATGTCAGTGGAAAACATACAGGACCATCTGTTATTTCAAAGTCATAATGTGAAGTGCCCATCATAATCTGATTAAAAGTCCTAAATAACAAGAATGATGGTCTCCTAGACAGAGTAATTCTAATTAACCTTATAAAAATGAGATTTGTACAGTGTGTGGAAAATTAAGGATATAAACAACCATTAAAGGAAAAACCTAATCACGTTATAATAATTATATGCAATGGACACAATAGGCAATAGTCACATAGCACTACCATATTTTAAATGCCATCATAAATAATACAAAATGATAATGTCTTATGGTGCTATTATTCAAAATAATATTTTATGTTATTCTTTTAAATAGCCATATAAGTTGCTTTATTAACATGAGATTTAAATTTGTACCCTGTAGTTTGGTTTTTTTTTTTAAAAAGAGTAGTCTGGACATTCAGCTAAATTACATTGGAATATAAATAAATAAAGTAAAAATCAGTAATTACTTATAGTAGGGTTTTACACACACATACACACACACAGATAGATAGATACATACATACATATATCTTTAAGCTGGAACAAGAATAGGAAGAAAGAAAAAGAATATTTTGTTTAGTTCTGCATAGAGTTGTATTTGTTTTCATGCTTAATAACTGGCCATCGTAGCAATAAAAGCAAGCATAGTGTTTCAGAACTTTCACTCTGACAATAGGAAGAGTTGAGTTCCTGTGTGACTTTGGCAAGCTTCTTCATGAGTTCAAGGCTCAGATTTTTCACCTATTATAATGATACTCTTTACTCTGAGTTCCAAGAGTTGTTGATGGGTTTAAATGTGCTTATGAACTTGGTGCTTGCCATTGTAGGTATACTACATATTAAATAAATGATAGCTATTGTTTTTATTATAATTATTACTTCCTATCTGAGGTTTTATCCTTTAATGATTGCATTTTGAGATGTAATAAATATGGAAAAGAGAGAACTGAAAATAAAGAGTAATAATATAATTACCACTTCCCATCCCCCTCCCACCTGCCTATGCAAGCACTGGCTTAGGAGGAATGTCTACATTAGTCAATTATTATTGTAACTCATGGCCTTTAATGGGCTCTTAAAGGTCATATTATGGAGGCTATTATTAGGATACAAGGCCAAAAGGTCCTCAGAGGGTCCATGTCTCGGGGGTTCCTACAAACACTCATCAGAACCTCTGGGCTTTGAAGCCCCCATGGAAGGCTTTCTGCTTACTAGAAACCTTTGTGAATGTGGTGTCTTCAGAAATATCTGACTTACATGTTTCTTTGAAGCCTCTTTTACAATATGATGCTACATTTAGTGTTTTATTTACAACTTTAAGGAGGTATTTTTGCTAAGACACTGTTTGCATAAACATGTAATGGAGAGAGAAATAATTGTGTAGGCCTGAAAGTCAATTTTGACCACACTAGCCCTACTTTGCTTGATCTAGATAATTACTCTACTCAAATGGTGTTTATTAGAAAATTTCATTAGTCAGCATATACTATTCCCTGCCTCAAAGATGATATTTTTATTTCCCATTGTAATCTCATGGTAATTGTCCATATATATATATATATATATATGTTTTTAATTTCACATGGATTGGGTAGTTTGTAGAAAATTTCTTAGTCATATCAAAAATATGTAGAAACAATGAGCCTATAGCAGGTTAAAATGCATGCCCCATTTGTTGATATATATTTTTGTTTAACAATCATAGAACCACCCCAACTCTCAGATGATTCTTTGTTTTTCCTTGTATAATATGCTTCACAGACTGATATGCAGGAGTGAGTCTAGTCAGATACCTATCCTCTGCATCTCAAAGTGGCCTTATTTCTCTTCTCTGGTATCAAGCATGGTAGAAATTGTCAAGAAGTGATAAAAATATGTTCTTTTGAAAAAAATTACCTGATTCTCTAAATCAAGTTTTAGTGCTAAAGACAGAAGTAAAGAGAAAGCAAAGTGGTTTTTTGTTTGTCTTAGTTTTTATTTTAGAGTGAATACTGAACTTATAAACTATTCAGGGGACAGATTGCTGAATGCCATGACACCTTTGAAGAATGTGTCCACAAAAGAAAAATTGAATAGGGAGTCTGCTTTGATCAGTAGAAACACCTTATTAAATACTCTTATTTTATTTAATCACAATTTGGTCAACTTCAGTTGATTGTAGCTTAAGTATATGCACAGAATGATTAGAATTCTATACGGACATGTGCTTTTATTTTTTTAAAAGGCACCAGTAAAGAGAAGCAATGTGAGATGAAGTCAACAGTTTACAAATTAATCTTTATTACAAGTAAGAGCAGGTTGATAAACTTCAAACTTTGAGAAGTTTGGCTTTTTTGCATAAATACAGAGTTAATAGAAGGGGCAGCATCAGCTGACCAAATTGCTATACAAGGATTTTCACTGAGAACTAAAAATTCATAGAGGAGAAATATTAGTGTAAGGAAAATGTCTTGGAAAAAGATGAAACTGACCTATAATGCAAAAAAAAGCAGAGGGGTGGGGGGTGGCTTTCAGAACATCCATAGCCAAGAATGAGAAGCATGGGTAGGATTTCAGGTAGCCCTGGATGGATGGGAGTGTATTTGATGGGAGCACAGCAAGCTTTGAGACTAAGCAGTATTTATTCTACCATAAAAACTCCAGGCCATTGAGGTGCAAGACAATAATTCTTTGACTATATTTAGTCAGTCAAACAAAAATCCAGGAGCAGGGCAAGACTAGCTGAACTGTTTCTAATAAAGTTGGTGTTCTAGTGGCATTCATAAATTTACAGTGTTTGAAGGTCTCAGCCCGTAGTCTTTGCACATGTAAAGGGCCTACTCTGTTTACCTTCAAATATATTTGTCATGTTGTATTTTTAAAAATCTAGACTTGCTTTCAGATGGTGGATAACTTATATTTAATTGGTCTCACTCTTAAGCGATAAATATATTTAGTGAAGGCTTTTGGTTACTCATCTTTGAACCAGATATACTGACCATAGTTCTCCTAAGTAGATGCCCATTAATTTCAGGTCAAATTGAAATTTAATTTAGAAATGTGCACTGCTCTAATTCCATGATCTAAGTCAGTGGCAACAGGTAAAAATATATATTCAGAAATACATTTTAAAGGTATCTTCCATTTATTTCCTAAAAGCAGTGCACAGAATTATTTTAAGGGGCAACAATTCCCTCCCTGATATCTCCCTAAACTTGTTTATTACTGGAATGAAATGGCACCAAAAGGAGAGGCTGATATCAAGGTTGACATTTGTAGGACATGAGATCTACAGATTTAACTGCACATGATGTACCTTTACTCTATGAAGTGCATAGACAGTGTTTCAAATGAGTAAAAAGCAGTCATGATGTGAAATGTGTCTTGAGAATCAGCAGTGAATGTTTTTTACACATATTTTCAAAAAGTTCTGTTTTCTCATACAATGTGTTAATTAGCAATGATCAAATTTTTTCTTTGCTTCAGTGTGATTGTCCATAAAGTGTCCATGAAGTGGTAAATACATTGAGTCCATGTAGTGGAAAATACATTGACTTAATATTTTTTCAGATTCTTCCTAAATGGCACAAGTGACCTAGCAAAAAATATTATTTTGATAAAAATAAATATATTTTTGATAACAATAATTGTTTCCATAATAATGTATTTAGGTGTCATTCTTTGTGATGATGTAAAATAAGAAAGTGAATAACTGAAGACTACTTAAATATAACAATTATAAATGAATAGGGGATAACCGAAATATGTTAAGGGTAGGTCAAAAGTTGATCTCTGGAAAAATGACTTTAACTTCTTCTCTATGGCTCAATTGGTTAATGAGACATTACTTTGGAAGTTTCTTGGACATAATTGAAATGGAAGCATCATACTACCTTGACAGTCAGTACTGAATTTTGTCTTTGTGGTTTTCTCCTCCAAGGTTCTGTTTTGTTTTGTTCTTTTTTTTTTTTTTTTTTTTTTTTTTTGGTGGTGGCATATAGGTAGTCAGAACAGCTTCAAATGAAGCCAGCTAATAAATTTGTTTTGTGTGTGAATCTAACATCATTAGAAAAGCATTGATTTCACCTAATAACTAGATAGGAAATTCAAGTTCAAACTATAAGCTTTTCTGAAGTGTGTTTTCCAACTGCTCAAGGAAGTCAGAGAGGACACAAACAGATGGAAAAACATTCCATGCTCATGGATATGAAGAATCAATATCATGAAAATGGCAATACTGCCCAAAGCAATTTATAGATTCAATGCTATTACCATTATACTACCATTGACATTCCTCAATGAATTAGAAAAAAAGTATTTTAAAATTCATATGGAACCAAAAAAGAGGTCATATAACAAGGACAATCCTAAGCAAAAAGAACAAAGCTGGAGGCATCATGCTACCCAACTTCCAACTATACTACAAGGCTACAGTAACCAAAACAGCATGGTACTGGTACAAAAACAGGCACATAGACCAATGAAATGGAGTAGAAATCTCAGAAATAAAACTGCACATCTACGACCATCTGATCTTCAACAAACCTGACAAAAACAAGCAATGGGGAAGGGATTCCCTATTCAATAAATGATGCTGGGAGAACTGGCTAGACATATGCAGAAGAGTGAAACTGGACCCCTTCCTTGCACCATATACAAAAATTAACTCAGGATGGATTAAAGACTTAAATGTAAAACCCAAAACTATAAAATTCCTGGAAGACAACCTAGGCAATACCATTCAGAACACAGGCACAGGCAAAGATTTCATAACAAAGATGCCAAAAGCAATTGCAACAAAAACAAAAATTGACAAATGAAATCCAATTAAACTAAAGAGCTTCTGCACAGCAGAAGAAACTATCAACAGAGTAAACAGACAACCTACAGAATGGGAGAAAATTTTTGCAATCTATGCATCTGACAAAGGTCTAATATCCAGCATCTGTAAGGAACTTAAACAAATGTACAAGAAAAAAACAAACAACCCCATTAAAAGTTGATCAAGGATATGAACAGACACTTCTCAAAAGAAGACATACATGTGGCCAACAATCATATGAAAAAAAAAAGTCTTGACATCACTGATCATTAAAGAAATGCAAATCAAAACTACAATGAGATACCATCTCATACAAGTCAGAATGGCCCTTACTCAAAAGTCAAAAAATAACAGATATTGGTGACGTTGTGGAGAAATAGAAATGCTATTACATTGTTGGTGGGAATGTAAATTAGTTCAACCATTGTGGAAGACAGTGTGGTGATTCCTCAAAGATTTAGAACTGGAAATACTATTTGACCCAGCAATCCCATTACTGAGTATATACCCAAAGGAATATAAATCATTCTATTGTAAAAATACATGCACACATATGTTCATTGCAGCACTACTCACAATAGCAAAGACATAGAATCAACCCAAATACCCATCAAGGATAGACTGGACAAAGAAAATGTAGTACACATATACCATGGGATACTATGCAGCCATAAAAAAGAACAAGATCATGTCCTTTGAAGGAACATGGATGGAGCTGGAAGCCATTCTCCTCAGCAAACTAATGCAGGAACAGAAAACAAAACACCACTTCTCACTTTTAAGTGGGAGCTGAACAGTGAGAAGACATGGATGCAGGGAGGGGAACAACACACACTGGGGCCTGTTGGGGGAGGGAGGCAAGGTGAGAGCATTAGGAAAAATAGCTAATGCATGCTGGGCTTAATACCTAGGTAATGGGTTGATGGGTGCAGCAAACCACCATGGCACACATTTACCTATGTAACAAATCTGCACACCCTGCACATGTACCCCAGAACTTAAAATTAAAAAATAAATGAAAACAAATAACCAAATTTAAAATTAAAAAAAACTATATGCTTTCAAAAGAAATATTTACATCTGGAAAATCACCCAGTTGATTGTTTTAATGCATGTATGAATGTCCTTTGACAGCTTTTAAGATGTTTCTTCTTTATATTGTATGCTTCTAGGAATAATGTTTCCTGTTGAGTATTTCAAAATGATATAATTTAGATTATTCTTCATCTTTGGAAGGCAGCTATGCTTACCACTATACCAACAACGCTAGATTATTCTTCATCATTCATTCTATGACTAGGTTGAGCACCATCAACATAGGGCCTTTATTCCACTTATTGTTGCAACCCCAGGGCCTGAAACACCACCTGGAGCATAGAAGACATTTAACTGGATGATAGTTGTTTTGGAACTATATAATCTTTGCAGATGTAGAATCTTCAAAATGCTAGTTCCTGGCCAAAATGAAAGATCCTTTATAAACATCTATGAAAATTTCAGATTGCAGTTTGCACATGCTCTTAAAATAATATCAAGAGTTAAACTCTGGGTTCTACTTTAATCATTCCAAAATAGCTGTTACCATGATTACAAATTAATAGTCAAATCTTGTGGCACAGTTTTTGTACTCATTCTAATTGAACTCATTTCCTCCATTGATACTTTAGTGCATCCATCTTAAAACCCCATCATTTTTTTCTATTCTCTCTTGGTTCACCTCCCTGTTTTGCAGCTTCTTGGCTGATTCCTACAACTCTGTAGGTCCTTGTAAGCGTAATTTCCAGAGGCTTATTCTTTTCTTTTCTTTTCTTTATTTTCCTCTTGCATTATGAATTTTAGCTAAAGCACTTTGTCTCATGTTTCAGCTGCTATATTTATGTTTGTGATTCTTTAATCTGCACTTTAAGCTATCTTCTCTTTCCTAAGATACAAACCCATACTTTTATGCTAATGTTCTACAGCACCTCAAACTTGGTAAGTTCAAAATAAGCTTATTTTTTTCTTCCCCAAACATGTTCTTACTCCTTTATTCGTTATTTTAGCTGTGTGTAAATGAGTTTAGTGTTGAGTATGAAAACTGTTTTGTTGTGTTAGGCTGGATAGCAGAGAGGGGATGAGCTATTATTCATAGCAGTGCCAGGAATGAAATATTCCTTAGTGAATATAAATTAACTTTTCTTCAATTTTTAAAATCGGAACAGTTTGGATTTTTTTAGATGCTAATATTGGGACATATGGAGTAAGATGGCATATTGACACTGCTCACAGGACCACACTTCAGAACACAAACCTACTGAAAATAAAGAAGAAAACATAATGTCAAACAATCTATCAGTAGCATTCCAACAACAAAAGTAGCAAATGTGAGAAGTGAACCTGTATATCAACACATGCTCTCTCAACTGCAGTAGGAGGAGTAGAGAATGGGTACTGGGCACCTGCAATTAAACGCTTCTACCCAGAAGTGGCACGCATCATATCTATCATGCTAACATTTTACTGGTCAAATTATTGCATATAGCCCTATCTAACTGAAAAGAAATGGAGAAATACAATCTATCCATATGCTCAGAAATAGAGAAGAACTGGATATCATCAATAGTAGTAATATGTGCCACAGCATATTTCCAATTAAACACACACACACACACATACACACACACACACACAGTCCTACTTACACTTCTCCAGGAACATTCAGGATGAAGGAAGTGGTTAGGAAGGAGAAAGGAGAAGGGAAAATACAAAGTTTAGTAAATAATAGCATTCCCAGAATATCAGTTCTAGAAAAGTAGTCCCACCTTCCATGAAGCTGAGCTAATAAATAAAAAATTATAAGATTTTACCACGCATTTTCTCTAGTTAAAGAGCAGATGAGAAAACGAGGATCAGTAATGATCCAGATCTATCACAAAAACAAATGAGAACATAAATATAAAACCTGCTAAATAAGATAGTAGCTTCAGGAGAAAAAGCAGGTGGGACACCATAAATAACATATTCCCCGCAGAGCTGAAAGTTCTCTGGTCAAAATCCATAAGATTTGCCTACCTTTGCTGACCTTTATCTGGAAGCAGAGTAGGAGAATATTCTGTGCGGAAAAGAGTAAATAGAGTGGGGAAAGATAGCCTATGAGAATTTGTTCTAGCAAACTCAAGTAGCAAGAATGTCAAATACCGGAAACTGTCCTCATAGGTGGGCTGGAGGAGAGCTATTTTGCCTGCTTTCCCTATTACCTCTTCCCAAATCGTCTAGGTAATATGTCCACCCAGAGTTGGGGAAACACATTTATGGCAACAGATCTGATAACCTACATGAAAAGTATACATTATATGAAAAACACAACTTACCCAAAAAGAAATAAGAAATTAGCCCTGTATGTATTAAAGAATTGGAATTCATTATATATATTTTAATCCCACAAAGAAAATGCTAGGATTAGCTGATGTCAACAGTGAATTCTTTCCATTTAAGAAAAAGAACAATACCAATCTTATAAAAATTATTTTGGAAAATAGAGGTGAAAAAATAATTCCCAAATTATTTTATGAGAACAACATAACATAAAAGCTTAATGAAGACACTGCAAATAAATAAATTTACAGAATAATATCCCTCATAAACATAGGCCCAACAATGCTTAACAAAATATTAGCAAATTAAATTTAGTAATATATAAAAAGGGTAATATATCATGATCAAGTAGTGTTTGTCCTAGAAATTTCAAGTTGTTTTAATACATGAAAATCATGTTAAGAGAACAAAAGAGACTGGCTATATGATCATTTCAGAAGGTGTAGAAAAGCATTTGACAAAAATCAACACCCATTCATTAAAAAAAAAATCAATGAAAACCATGAATAGAAGAAAACCTCCTCAACCTGTAAAGCATACCTACAAAAAAAAAAACAAACAAAAAAAAACCATAGCTAGCATCATACTTAACGGCAAAAAAAATTAGAAATAAGTCAAGGATAGGCAAGAAATAAATATATCTGTTTGCATTTTCAGATGATATTGTTTATGTAGAAAATCAGGCCACATATGGTGGCTCACCTCTATAATCCCAACACTTCAGGAGGCCAAGGCAGAAGGATCATTTGAGCTCAGGACTTCAAGACCAGCCTGGGCAACATAGAGAGATCTCATCTCTACAGAATAATTAAAAAATTAACAGGGCATGTTAGCCTGCACCTGTAGTCCCAGCTACTCAGGAGACTGAGGTGGGAGGATGGTTTGAGTCTAGCAGGTCGAGGCCACAGTGAGCCATAATCATACCACTGCACTCCAGCCTGGGCAACAGAGTGAGACCTTGTTTCAAAAATTAAAAAAGAAATTCAATTGTATTTGTATATGCTAGCAGCAAACAATTGAAGAATGAAATAAATTCATTTATCATGATGTCAAAAATATAAAATAGCTAGAAATAAATTTAACAAAAGATATTTAAGAACTTCTACCCTAAAAACTATAAAATATTATGATGGAATCTAAAAACAACACAAATGGAGATATGTACCATGTTCCTGGATTGGCAGATTCGTATTATTAAGATACAGTTTATTTTAAAGTATTATATCAATGCTAATTTCCTGGACTTAATAATTGTAATACAGTGATGTGAGATGTTTGTATTAGGAGAAGCTAGGTTAAGAGGCATGTGGGAATTCTGTCAAATTTTTGTGAATTTCCTATAACATTAAAAATATTTCAAAATAAAAAGTTTTTAAAATGTCAATTATCTCAAAATTGATTGATAGATTCAATGCAGACCATTTATAATCCCATAGACTTTTTTTAGAAATTAAACTGGTTCTAAAATTTACATGAAATTCGAAGCACTTAAAATATTTAAAGCAATCTTGACAAAAGGAACATAGTTGGAGGATTTACACCACCTGATTCCAAGACCTGCTATTAAAGCTACAGTAATCAAGACAGTGTGGCTCTGCCATAAGGATAGACAAATAGACAAATGGAACAGAAGAGAGAGCCCAGACATAAATCCACAGTTATACAGTTATTTGCTTTTTGACAAAGGCACCAAAGCAGTCCAAATGAGAAAAAAAAAAATGTATTTTTAGCACATGGTGTTGAAATAACTGGCTACTGATATGGGGAAAAAAAAAAAAACAACTTCAGGCCCAAACTTATACCATACATACAAATACATTTGAGATGGAACACAGATCTAAACATAAATCTAAAACAGTACAGCTTTTAAAGAAAAATATAAGAGTCGATATTCAGGGCTTGGGGGTAGGTGAAGATTTCTTAGGCAGCAAAAATCAATAACTATAAGATAAATAATTGATAATTTAGACTTTGTCAAAGTTAAAAACTCTCCCACTAGTTATAAGACACCATCAACTTTCAATAAAAGTAGCAGTCAATCCACAGAGCATGAGGAAATATTCGCAAAATATATATCTGACAAAGGAATAGTATCTAGGAAAACTAAAGAACTACTACAAAACAAAAATAAAGAGATAAACTACCCAGTAATAAATAGCCAAAACATTTAAACAGATATACAAATGGCCCATAGCTCTTGAAAAACTGCTACACATCATTAATAACCAGGGAACTGCACACTAAACCACAATGAAATACCAATACACATCCACCAGAATGGTTAAATCAGAAACTGACACCCACAAGTATGGTGAGGATGTAGAACATCAAGATACCCATGCAACTCTGGAAAAATAAATCTAAAACTAAACGTATACACACCCTATAACCAGCAATTTAACTCCCAAGCATTTACCTTAGATAAATTAAAACATTAACAAAAAAACTTGTACAAGAATACTCACAGCAGCTTTAGCTATATTCATAGTAGCAAAAAACTGGAAACAGCTCAGTTGTTCCTCGATAGGAGAATGGGTAAACTGTGGTATATTCATAGAATGGAATATCACTCAGCAGCAAAAAAGAGCAAAGTAGTACCACATGCAACAACATGGATGAATCTCAAAAACATTATGTGTGTTAAGAAAAATTTACACAGATGAGCACATTTTATTTGATTCCAACAATATAAGATTCTAGAACTGAAAATGATTCTCTATGGAGGAAAAAATTAGAACAGTGGTTTCCACTGGGAGTTTAAGGGCAGAGATTGACAAATATTGAGCCCTTGCGAATCATATGTGTATTGAAATATTTAGGAGGGACTGAACTGATGTCTGCAATTTAATTTGAAATGCATAAAAAATAAGATGAAATACTGAATGAATAGAGAAATTAATAGAAGGATGGAAATGTAATAAAGCCAGCATAATTGTCATTAATTGCATGTAGTAGGTAGGTATATGGGTGTTTACTGTAAAATTAATTCTTTCAACTTTGCTGCTTGTTTGAAATTTTTCTTCGAAGTTTTTGGGATTTAAAAGAATCAACTATCCATAGTTGGCTAATTGCAATAACTGGTGACTAAAAATCACACCCCAATACTACAAGTCAGTGTAATTTCCCAAAACACTCTGATTCAGGAGAAGCAGGTTAAGTAGGAGTAGGCTCAGCAATGCTACTGAAAGGTGCCACCAATAAACAGTGACCATCATTATCTTGATGTGGAGTATCAAGAGGCATTTCAAAGTGGGGTAGCAGCAAGTGTTTCTCTATCCTCTCTTCTCCCCCTGCCTCCTCTTCTACTTTCTATTTGTACTGACAAGTGTCCAGGCCAAAGCAAGCAGTCAGGATAGGAATATTAATTTATTTGTGAGGACAGTAGTATTAGGGGGAAAAAAAGAGGAGCACATGCAAAGACATGATATGCTATCATTTAAAATCCCATGATACACCAAAACCAAAATTAAATAAACCAAGCTAAAAATCTTCTGCAAAACAAAGGAAACAATCAATGAAATGAAACAGCAGCCTATGGATAGGGAAAATATATTTGCAAACTATGTATCTGATAAGGGGTGAATATCCAAAATTTCCTTTTAAAACTCATACAACTCAAAAGTAGAAAAACAAATGCCTCAGTTTAAAAATGGGAAAAGGACCTGAATAGACATTTCTATGAAGAAGACAAAAATGTGTCCTACAGGTATGTGAAAAGTTGCTCAACATCATTAATCATCAGGAAAATGCAAATGAAAGCCACTATGAGATACCAAATCACATGTTAGGATAGCTATTATCAAAAAGCCAGAAGATAACAAATGTTGACAAGAGTGTGGAGATAAAAGAACCTTGTAAGTATTTGTGAAAATGTAGGTTGGTGCAGCCATTGTGGAAAACAGTATGGAGGTTTCTAAAGAAATTAAAGATAGAACTACTGTATCACCCAGCAATCCCCCTTCTGGGCATATACCCAAAGGAAATTAAACCACTACCTCATAAAGATAGCTGCACTTTTATTTTCATTGCAGCATTATTCATAATGGCCAAGACATGAAAACCACCTATGTGTCTGCTGAGGGATGAACAGATAATGAAGTTGTTATATACATGTGATATATATTCCAATGTATGCATAAATATGCATGCATATTTGTATGCAAATGTATGGATAAATATGCTTACATTGGAATATTATTCAGCCTTAGAAAAGAATGAGATCTTGACATTTGCTACAACATGGATGAACCTGGAGGACATTATGCTAAGTGAAATAAGCCAGACACACAAAGAAAATATTGCATGATCTCACTTATATGTGGGATATTTTTTAAAATGTCAAATAAACAGAGATGAAGAATAAAACAGTGTTCACCAGAGGTAGGGGTCGGGGGAGAAAATGGGAAGATGTAGGTCCAAAGACAGAAAGTAGCAGTATGTAGGATGAACAAGTCTAGAGATGTAATGTACACCATGAAGACTATAGGTAACAAAATTGTACTGTATTTGGGATTCCTGCTAAATTAGTAGATATGAGCTGCTCTTGCCACAAAAACAAAAGCAAAACAATGGGTAACTATGTGAGATAATGGATATGTTAATTTGTTTCACAATAGTAATCATTTTACTATCTATATGAATCACATTACATCATGTTGCATACCTTAAATATATATAATAAAATTTATTTTAAAAAAAATAATTAATAAAAAGGTAGAATATACTGCTTCCCCACAGTTAAATGATCCAGAGTGATAGAGAAGGGGAGAAACTTATCTTTGACAGCAACTATTAATATATCCTTCCCTCCTGGCTTTTTGCTCTAATTGTCTACCCTACTAACAAAACCTACTTCCCTGCTTCAGCTAAAAAGGTTATTTCATTACTGTTATGTATATTATGTACTGATATGTACATTATTGTTAACAACTTAGGGTATATGCCTTCCCATTCCCAGAGGCATTTAACACAATCCAAAGCCAGTAGGTAAAAGATGGCTTAGGTATGAGTAGTGAAAGGTTTTTGGATCAGACTAGGATTCAGAGAGATGTGAGGAAATTTTCAAATTTGCCATTGCTCCCAGTATCCCAAATAAAAGAAGATGTGACAAGATATCTCTGTGATTGAGCAATAAACAAAAGAGAGATTATAATAGAAGCTCATAGAAAGTTGTCCTGGGAGTGAAGAGAACTAAGTTCTAGAGCCAATCAGCTGTAAATCAGCAAATCACTGGATTTCTTGGAGCCTCTGATTTTTTGAGGCCTTGAACACTTTGGTGCACAGGAAATGCAGGGTTTATACCCTGGAAGGTAGGAGCCGTAAATCAGAGATTATTGTACAGAAAAGAGGCTCCTATTAGAACTCTGAATTATTGAATGCAAGAAGGAAATAACTCCATCAATGGTCTCTAGCAAAACAACAATAAAATGTTGTAAGATACTATGCCATATGAACAAAATAACCAATCCAGGAATGAAACTAATAGGAGTTGAATGAAGGCAGGGAGAGGGAGCGTAGGGACAATGATGTTTTTTAACTGCCCAAATTACTTTCCCCTATAAAAGCGGATTTGTTTAATCCACTGGGTACTGGATACCTAACTTAATAATTTACTATTCAACAAACAAGTTTGATTTTTAGCCAACAGATTTTCTCACTCTCTTACTTTAAAAGCTCACTTCAAAATCATCTAAAAAAAATTTTCAGTAGGAATTAATGACTTGGCACTTGGGGACAGAGTTGATAAGTGTTTCACAAAGACAACTGTTTCAAATCCAAGTCTCTGAAAAGTGATTATTTCAGTCATGTCTGCTGAAATCTGTGATTCAGCTATGGTTAAGAGAAGCTGAGTGGTCAACCGACATGCTTACCCCCATTAAGCCTTTGAATCAGCATCTCGATTTATTGCATAAATTTACTTAAGAAGTTATACAAGTCATAACTAACTTGAATCCTTTCCTTTAAAATACTTAGCAACCTAATTCAGCAATAATTTATAATATGTTTTAACTAACCAATATATAAACATGAAAGAAAGCAAACATCTTATGCTTTTGGCTTATTAGAATGTTGCTCTATTTTCTACTCTGTCTCAAACTTGCTATGTCTCATTGATTTATGGAACT
Organism: Homo sapiens; assembly: GCF_000001405.40. Taxonomy (NCBI): domain Eukaryota; kingdom Metazoa; phylum Chordata; class Mammalia; order Primates; family Hominidae; genus Homo; species Homo sapiens. The sequence continues at coordinate 198,838,550 of NC_000002.12, forward strand.
CAATCTTTAGGGTGAAAAAAAACAAAACAAAACACCAGAGGTGGGTATACAAGTGGGATTATGGGACTTCCTTTCTTTCAGAAAAGAATTCTTGCTGAAGCCTGGTCTAATGTGATGATTAATTTTACAGAGCTGTCCCTGACCGATGTCACTATAGCAATGAAAATAAACTATGAGACTAGGATTCAGCCAGAGGGGAAAAGTTCATTAAGAAATAAAAGTAGGTACAAAATTGCTCATTAAAGTGGCTAACCAGGGTTGTTTTATGAGAAGATGGATTAAAAAAAAATAAAGGGTTACCATGTATTTTAAAGAGATGAATTCAAATGTGACTCATAGATTCCGGTTTCAATATAATTCCGTGGAATATAACAGTTTAGCTCCATGGAAAAAGACGATAGTTAGTGGACCCTATTATAAAATTTGAAATATTTTAACATGAAATCTGACTTGCCCACAAGCTGCAAAAAGTATACCATTAGCTTCAGAATTGTGAACAAAAAAGAGCATAATTATTTTCTTCGCCTCGAGCCTGGTCCAAGGCAAAGAAAATCCCACTCAAGATGTTTCTATCTAAATCTGAATGCAAAGAATTTTTTTTGGAAATTGGAAATCATTTTTAGCAGCTTCTAACACTTCGTTGAGCATCTAAGGGATTGCTTTAAGAATGATTTGGTCCATTAGAAACTAGTCAACACACACAAAAGTTGGATGCTTTCCTTAGCTACAAGGAAAAAGTAACTCTAAAGTTTATCCTTAAAAATACTGTCATATCTTCCTATGGTTATCACTTCATTCAAAATAGATGGATAGATAGATGATAGATAGATAGATAGATAGATAGATAGATAGATAGATAGATAGATAGATAGAAAGAATATCCCAGATTCTGAAGGCTGAATAGATACCTAAGGAATGTATGATATGTTAGATTCTGTTTCTGAAAGAAAAAATATGTGTTTTTTAACATGGAAAACTGGTTAGTCCATTTCAAAATGTGAGTCAAATCTTTATATCTCATTACAGAGCCTTTTAAAAAGTACAACAATGAATGTGAGTACAGCTCCTTCCCCCAAAATGCAGTCTGATATTTAGAAATTTTGAGTAAGGAAGCTAAGAGTCTGAGGAATCAGGTTTTATAATATAATCCAGATTAGCTAAAAGTCAGCTTGAAAAGACACTGATAATTCACTTAAGCCTTGTTGTTTGCTCATCCTGATACCAGCATTGTGTTATGTTATAGGAAAGTTTCTGGCCTGGAAGTTTATCATGGAGAGCAGGATGTTCTGGGTCCACTACTGTTAGAGGTCCGCTACTGTTACTGTGAAATACAAAATGTGAAACAGTCAGAGGAAAGAAAGACTCAAATTGTTCTGGGTCAAAAGCAAGGATGTTCAACATGATATGATTTTCTTTGAGAGCTTGGCAGGGGGAATGGTAAGGATCAACTCTGATTCCATTAGTAATAAAGCTGAGCCGAGGAAAGAATTCAGTCAAATAGCCCATTTTATCTCACTGACTTCTAGTTTTGAGCTATTTCCCTTGTTTATGATGTTTTATTGTTTGCTTTGAGTTATTTCTTTTGCAAATTAGTTAGATTTATTTTCTTTCTCTGTTGGGAAGTGTGGTGAAAATGAGTCTGGATCTAAATCAGAAACCATGGGTGAAAATTTTGTTGGTCACCAGTTGCTTGTCTAGGTTTATCTTGGGCACAACTCCCTTTCTAAGGCCCCTTCCAGCTCACTACATTATTATTACGCTCTGTGCCAACCACAGCTGCCTAATATTAACTGATTGTGCCACTTCTGAATTACTGCTTGGGAAGCAGGACCTACTGGTTTTATTTCTTTTATTACCCATGACCCCACAGAAAGGCAGATTGGCTAGGAAAAAATAAATAAATAATGTGGGCTAGTAAATGCTTCTGGTGCTTATTTACCCTCACTCTGTTGCTCACCCCTTCTTTATCCTCACAGTCTCAATCCCGATTCCCGTCTATTTTGGTTTCAGCTGATTATATTGTTCTTTTATTTAATTTTTCCCTTGCATTTTCCATTCACTTAGAACAGAATCCCACATTAAATGAGGCTCCAGGCTCACTTAAGGGTGCATTTTGCAAACCAAATAAAGTAAAATCATCAGTAAATTCCAAATTTATTATGCTCTTCTACACATGTACAAATTCCAGTAAGGCTCTAGTTATGAACATAATTCTAAGACAAGGATTCCAGATGCAATTAATAATTTTTTCTAACCATGTTGTTTATTTTAAGTGCATGAGAAGGATGTAATATATTCAACTTTGAAGGAAAAAATGTTCAGAGACAACTTGGACAGACAGAAGCCAAACCATAGCTTGACATAAATTGCTTGGCATATAAGAAAATCCTGAAACAAGGACAAATCAGGATCTATCAGAGCAAATACAGAAGACTGGCGAGAAAAAATGGTTTTGTAACTTCCAAAGCTACATAGTCCAATGTTCTACCATAAATTGTACTATAGGAAATTGATTTCAGTGCTTAACACTGTCAAATATCCTTTCTTTTGGAGGTGAAAAAAGACTCAGGCTTAGGGACAGTAACTAGCTGCTTAACAACGGAGCAGATACTGTAATGGCAACCTCAAGACTTTTGCTTAGAACCATTGTGAACATTTCACACATTTGCCTTCTCAATTCAAGAACCAGCCAACATTTCTGCTCTTTTGAAACTTGTTTTACATATTGGAGTTCTAGCCTATTGGTCCTTCTTGCTTTCCAGGTTTTTCAAACTAATATTGTTTCGTACTTAAAGCACTGTATGCATTCTGGACGCTCTGAGAAAGCAGAGTAGGGCAGGATGCTACAACAGAGAAGTACCCACTGTAAATACTTCTGCTGCTTTGGGTCAGTTTCCTTGGGACTCCCAGGAAGATGCTCTTTGTCTCAACATAGTGGTCAGGATGGCAAGAGCATGAGGTGCTGGGACACTTGGCTTCCGCCACTCCTTGGTAAGAAGATTGCTTCCAGTACACCATCTATGGAGATGATTCTTTCCTTGAGCTGCCAGCACCTATCTTCAGGCCAAAGGAGTATTTCTGGATTCTCACAAGCTTATATAATATGCATATTTGTATATATGTATGTGTGTATACATATGTATATATGTGTATATGAAATAATTTTTAAATACTGGATTATTTTTCCTTCTCTATATTTTCATGCCCCAGAGTATAAAAATAAAAACAGATCTTAACTCTCAGAAGAAAATAAACAATTTCACCAAGATATATGCTCTGCAGATATTCACAAAAGCTGAGTTCGTTATCTATTATTAGATTTCAAGATTATCATACCTATTTATACATAAAACCTCCTCCCCAAATGTCTCTCTCTTTCCCTCTTTCTCCACCAACATCAACTGAGTTCTACCTCTATCATTTTATAGTGGACAAAGAACTAATGGCTTTTAATATTAAGCTCTTGCACCTTGGAGCCTGAAATTTCCACTATGACTGCTTTTTTTTTAGTGGGATTTAAAAGCAGAGTAAGTGATAAAAAGTTTAAAAATGTATTATACATTAGTGCTACAGACAATAGGTCATAGAGAAATAGGACACAGGACAGGGAAATTTTGATAAGTTTAGAGATGGAGAACCAGTGGGAAGGGGAAGGCCAATTGAAAAGCTGGTAGGCTGTGAGTTAGTAGTAGGCTGGTTGAGGGAGGGTCTGGGAGAAGGAGTGATTTCTAACACTGAGAAAGCAGCAGAAGTACTTCTGATGACAATTCACTCACTACATGACATTTTTTTTTTTTCTTGAGTGTCGCTCTGTCACCCATGCTGGAGTGCAGTGGTGTGATCTCGGCTCACTGCAACCTCCGCCTCCCGAGTTCAAGTGATTCTCCTGCCTAAGCCTCCCAAGTAGCTGGGACTACAGGCACACACCACTATACCCAGCTAATTTTAGTATTTTTAGTAGAGACAAGGTTTCACCAGGTTGGCTAGGCTAGTCTTGAACTCCTGACCTCAGGTGATCTTCCCGCCTCAGCCTCCCACAGTGCTGGGATTACAGGCATGAGCCACCATGCCCAGCCTACATGACATTTTCTTGAGTTGATGATAGGTGTGATAGGTAGTATGTTAAATTAAAACTCATTCATTCTGTTAGTTATTCTTGAGCTGGGCCAAAATATAAGTACTAAAGGATGTAGTAATAGCTTAAGGGGACAGGTTGAGTCACTGTATAAAATGCATACTAAACCACAATAGCATTCATGAACATGAACCTCTTAGCCACATAGCCTTGAGTTCCTCAAGGTAAGCAGAGTTCGAGTAGATTTGAGCCATCTTCACACAAAATCTAAAGATCTTTCTAAATTGTGATTATCCAGAGGCATGTACTCCACCACAGTGACAGACTTCTTTTTCAAAATTGTGCTCATTATCTTAACCGCAGCAGAATTTCCAAGATTGACCAAATAATTTCAAGACATATAAAAGAATACTGGTATTACATATGTATTTTCTATTTCATTAAACTTGTAGTCACATTTAATTTAATTAACTAGGTTTTAAAATGTTCTCTTAAGCACCGACTAGATGTCACTGACCCATTGGTATTAGGAATCAAAGTAATATTCCCACAAATTTAATAATTGTTCAAATTAATTTCTCCTAAATTTCAACATACTTTGATCTATTCTAAGAAATTTGGTCATTTTTACTGCCTGATATATGTCAGGGAACCCACTATTGTGCTGTTCATTTAGATATTACAAAGTACAACCTTTTAACAGACCTTTTAAATAATTACTAGGGATTCAAATTTAATTCAATCTCATATGGAACTACCAATGCAAATAATTCATATAACAACTGAAGAGGCAGATACTTTCTACACATAGCTAAGTTTTCATACAACATAAAACAACAATAATATCAAAGCTAACTTTTCACTCTTGGGCTTAGCAAATTTATTTTGACATCGATTGTATATTCCAACTTCAGAAGCATTAAAATATGAAAACCATACATCTTTGTTTCAATGAGGTATAGTTTAGATAACCTCTTTGCCTCTACTTTTATATAAAGTATTCCTTAAGTTCTGACCCTTTTATCATTCTTTATTTTTATATGCTGTTAATCTCAACTTCTTCTACTTGCTCTTATACCCTAATAACGTCCAATATATCACTATAAGCTTGCTTATCTGCCCTTCAGTAGCCCTCCTTATTTAATCACTTTTGTTACTTTTTTCTTTTAAAAATATTAAGATGTTGCATCTCATTACTTCTTTAAGTTACTCACCCATTGCCCTCCATCTTTTCAGCATAATTTCTTTAAAGGGGTAATTCCTTACCTCTACTTTCTTACTATCCACCTTCTAAAGAATGAATGCTTTTCTGACCTAAGGTTCCCTTACAGTCATTTTAGATTTTCCTTCCTTACAGAGCTAATATTTGAGAAAAGTAGTGTACATTCATTGTCTCTTTCCCTGTCACATATTCACTATTTACTTCACCTCAATATGGTATCTCCTCCCATTACTACACTAAAAGCACTATTTTCATGGTTTTTGATAACTTTCTTGTTGCTAGATCCAATGGGTGGTTATCGGTTCTTATGTCAATGGACATCTTTGCAGCATTTGAAATCAATCTATCCCGATAGGTACTCTCCCTTCCCTTGCTTTAGGTGACACTGCTCTATCAGGGGTTTCTTCCTACTCCTCCAACCAATTCTACTTAGTCTCTTGAAGGTTCTTCCTTTATATGTCTCTTCACAATGTTTATGTTCTCTGCCCTCTTCTCTTCATGCTCTCTCTAGGTAATTCCATTCACTTTCACAGCTTGAACTTCCATCCTTTTGCTAATGACTCCCAAATCTACATTTCAGCTCAGAACTCTTCCCTGGACACTAGAATCATAAATCCACTTGCTCTTGGCAATTATCTCTTGGCATCTCCAACTCAACCCCATCAAAAACTCATTTTATGTGTTCATTTCCTCCATCCCCAACCACCACTGAACCAAATATATTTTTTCTCCTTATTCTGTACCTGGATGGATGGTACAATCACCTATGTAGTCTTCCAGGCCAGAAGTGTCTAATGGTCTCCTCATTCTATTATTCTGTAAAAGTTATATAGCCTATCAATCCAAGCATGCCTAGATTACTACTGCAACTTCCTAACTAGTCTTTTTCCCTCCAGTCTTGTCTCACACTTTCATACTTCAACACGATGCTTTCAGAGTGATGCTTCCAACATACAGATCTGACTATATAACTCTCTATGTTAAAATCATTTCCATGAGTTCTCATTGCTTTCAAGATAGAACCCAAATTGTTAGTCTCTATGTACCATGTTCATGGGAATTCTTAATGAGGTAACTGGGCATCTAGGGTCAGAGATCACAAAATAGAACAAGAAAGGTGGTGATAAAAGGGCAACACATGTCTTCTACCAGCTGTGTCTGCCTTCCTTCAGTTCTTTGCTTACCATTCTCCTTCAACAACAAAATTTTTAAAAAGCTAGTTATTGCAATGATAGCATATACAGAGCTTATTACATTTTTAAAAGTCTATTCACACCCATTGCTTAATTTAATCTTTATTCTACTCTTTGAGGTATTTTTTCATAAGATTTTACAGATGTGAATACCACAGGTAAGCATTTTCTAATAAACCACGCAGGATCATCACTAAGTGAGGGAAGGCCAGAAATAGTTCTTAAAGGCCTATAGTGTGTTCTCAATCCTTGTTCTTTCTACACTTTTCACATGGCATTTCCCAATGTATCTCAAGAGTCCAGAGTTGGAGATTAAAATCATAGGGAAATCTTCTATAAAATAATGCTGCCTGAGCTCTACTCAGAAATTCACATTCTGTGAAGAGGATTTGGCTTTCTGTATTTTGTGTAAGTTTCTCAGCAATTATAATGCCCAACCAGATGGTCTTAAATAGGCACATATTTGCCTTCTTTAGATGTTCCTTAAAGTCAAGGTCATCCTCGAATCTCCCATCAAATATCTTTGTACTTTGGACATATCCAGCATGCAAAAACTTGTGAATGAAAAGTTATAAAATAGTTCTATTATATGCCCTATCCAGAAAAATAATCAAATTCAAACCTTGTTCTTGAGGAACAAAGTTAATGTCAAAATTCAGAAGACTAAGCTTTACAAAATTAAAACAAACAAACAAAAAAAAACTGAACAAAATAAAAAATCAAAGAAAAATGTTTGTTCACTGTCTGGGGTTTGAAATGTGGCCCTAGAAAAATAAACAGTTATAATCTGTTAGAAGCAGTTTGCAGATGATGTTCTAATCAATTCTCTTATAAACTAGCCTCACTAACCTACACTTAGCACTGCCTAAATTATGCTTTTGTAACAACTTGCATAATCTCCTTTTTGCATCTATCTTTCCTTCATGTAACTGATCTTAGAGGACATTGACAGTGTTGGACTAAATGATGGAAGTACCTCTTTTGTTATTGTTGTCTTTTGGCCCAGATGGGAAAGATGCTCTTACACACTCATTTTTAATGGCTGTGAATGTACAATTTTTTTAAAAGAACAAGAAGAGGGAAAACTGGTTAATAAAATGAAACTATATTAACTTCTGCTCCATGATACTTGAGAAATACTAGGATAATAACATTTACAAGCCATGCTTTTAAAAAAAAAATTTGCCATCCAAATCAGTTACATAGTCCTCTGCCACTCTTCACTCTTGAATATTTTTCCAGAAAAAGAAAATGTCTTCCAATGTTCTAGATGCCTCTGAGCAAGACAGACCTCCCCATTAACAATAAGTGCAGAAACCCTGTAATTTCTGCAAAAGGGAGATTACCCTCCAGGCTACAGATGGGCTTGGGGACCTGACTGAGATGGTTTGCAGCACAGGGCATACCAGATGTTTTCAAGAAAAGCTGGGAAAGATAATTCAGCATTGATTTAGAAGAGCACCTTTCAAATGTGTCCACCTGTAATGGTAATACATGTATTTTACATAATGACCCAGTATATAAGAAATGTGTGTGTGTGTGTGTGTGTGTGTGTGTGTGTGTATGTGTACTTGAAACTAAATTTACAAGAGAAAGTTTCACAATCCATTAATAGGTCATGAAATCAATTCCACATGTGTCTTTTTTAAAAAATTAGCATTTTTAAAAAAAGTATAGAAAAGAAAATGTTAGTTTTTATTTTACACATTAAAGGTAAATATTGTTTTGTGATTTCAGTTGTGTACAATAATTTCTAAAAGGCATAAGCTCATAAGAGATTCTTAAATTTAAAGAAATCAAATTAAGTAATAATGTCCATGAAAAAATATAGAATAAGCTTTTGCCAACCAATGGGTTCCAGGAAGTTTTAATCATTCAGTCAACAAAAATGTATGAACAAAGACTGTGTTTTAGTTACCTTGCTAACCAGAAGGGAAGAGGAGAGTTTCCTGTTCTTGGACTGTTTTAAGCACAAAATCTTCAAATTTCTTCTCTGTCCACTGGTCATTCCAGTCTTAGCTTTACCTACTGAGGGATAAATATAAGCAAAGCTCTGGGGAAAGGTAAATACAATTGGAAAAACACATGTGTTGCTGTCTTATCACTACTTTTCTTGCTCTGTTTTGGGATGTCTGACCCTGGATGCTCAGTACTCTCATTACACATTTCTTTAGCTTGGGGTCTGCAGATCTGATGCCCATCTAAGATCAGAGCTCTGGAGACAGTGACTTCCACTTCTGATTCATCAAAATACACCTGCCCTACCAAAATACACATGCCATGTCCTTGGTCTCAGAAATAAGAGGGATGAGACATTAATGGTAATAGTGTCTGAATATATCTTTGCAGATAGCATCATCATTTTCATCATTTTGACAGGGGCACCCCAATAGCATGTGTACTGTAAATAATTTAGGCTAAGTCACTTCATTATTTAACTGAAGAAATACTGAAGGAGGCTAGATGGATACTGTCCCTGCCCTAATTGGGCTTTGAGTCTGGCAGCAAAGACAGACATTAAACGGTAAGCGTAATATAAGATTAGCACTAAAAAGGAGCTACGAGAATTTATAACAAGATAATTTAATCAGAACTACGGAGTCAGGCAAGACTTCTGAGACAATGATATTTAAATTGAGGCCTCCCAAACAAAAACATAAAGTGAGGAAAGGACACCATTTTCAACATATGATGCTGGGATAATTGGCTAGCCACATGTAGGAGAATGAAACTGGATCCTCATCTCTCACCTTATACAAAAATCAACTCAAGATGGATTAAGGACTTAAATCTAAGACCTGAAACTATAAAAATTCTAGAAGATAACATTGGAACAACCCTTCTAGACATTGGCCTAGGCAAGGATTTCATGACCAAAAACCCAAAAGCAAAAGCAATAAAAACAAAGATAAATAGCTGGGACCTAATTAAACTAAAGAGCTTTTGCATGGCAAAAGGAACAGTCAGAGTAAACAAGACAACCACAGAATGGGAGAAAATCCTCACAATCTATACATCTGACAAAGGACTAATATCCAGAATCTACAACGAACTCAAACAAACCAGTAAAAAAACAAACAATCCCATCAAAAAGTGGGCTAACATGAATAGACAGTTCTCAAAAGAAGATATACAAATGGCCAAAAAACATATTAAAAAATGCTCAACATCACTAATGATCAGGGAAATGCAAATCAAAGCCACAGTGTGATACCACCTTACTTCTCCAAGAATGGCCATAATCAAAGCATCAAAAAACAGTAGATGTTGGTGTGGATGTGGCGATCAGGGAACACTTCTACATTGCTGGTGGGAATGTAAACTAGTACAGCCACTATGGAAAACAATGTGGAGATTCCTTAAAGAACTAAATGTAGAGCTACCATTTGATCCAGCAATCCCACTACTGGGTATCTACCCAGAGGAAAAGAAGTCATTATTCAAAAAAGATACTTGCATATGCATGTTTATAGCAGTACAATTCACAATTGCAAAATCGTGGAACCAACCCAAATACCCATCAATCAACGAGTGGATAAAGAAACTGTGTACAGTTTCTTTGCACATTATATATATATATTATATTATATATATTATATATTATACATATTATATATAATATATATTATATATGTATCATATATTACATAATATATAATATATTATATATTACATAATATATTATATATTACATATATATTTATATATATAATTCCATCATATATATACTTTATATATATAATTCCATCATATGTATTTTATATATGTAATTCCATCATATGTATTTTATATATGTAATTCCATCATATGTATTTTATATATGTAATTCCATCATATATATATTTTATATATGTAATTCCATCATATATATATTTTATATATGTAATTCCATCATATATATATTTTATATATGTAATTCCATCATATATATATTTTATATATATAATTCCATCATATATATATTTTATATATATAATTCCATCATATATATATTTTATATATATAATTCCATCATATATATATTTTATATATATAATTCCATCATATATATTTTATATATATAATTCCATCATATATATATTTTATATATATAATTCCATCATATATATATTTTATATATATAATTCCATCATATATATATTTTATATATATAATTCCATCATATATATATTTTATATATATAATTCCATCATATATATATTTTATATATATAATTCCATTATATATTTTATACATATTGGAATTATATATATTTTATATATATATAATTCCATTTTATATATATATAATTTGATTATACATATTATATATATATTTCGATTATACATATTATATATATAATTCCATTATACATATTATATATATATAATTCCATTATACATATTATATATATATAATTCCATTATACATATTATATATATATAATTCCATTATACATATTATATATATATAATTCCATTATACATATTATATATATAATTCCATTATACATATTATATATAATTCCATTATACATATTATATATATATAATTCCATTATACATATTATATATATATAATTCCATTATACATATTATATATATATAATTCCATTATACATATTATATATATATAATTCCATTATACATATTATATATATAATTCCATTATACATGTTATATATATATAATTCCATTATACATGTTATATATATATAATTCCATTATACATGTTATATATATATAATTCCATTATACATGTTATATATATATAATTCCATTATACATATATTTTATATATATTTTATATATACATAATTCCATTTTATATATATATATATGGAATAGTACTCAGTCATAAAAAGGAATGAATTAACAGCATTTGCAATGACCTGTATGAGATTGGAGACTATTATTCTAAGTAAAGTAACTCAGGAAGGGAAAACCAAACATCATATGTTCTCACTGATAATGTGGGAGCTAAGCTATGAGGACACAAAGGCATGAGAATGATACAGTGAACTTTGGGGACTTGATAGGAAGAACGGGAGGAGGGCAAGGGATAAAAGACCACAAATACAGTGCAGTGTATACTGCTTGGGTGATGGGTGCACCAGGATCTCACAAATCACCACTAAAGAACTTACTCATGTAATCCAATACCACCTGTACTCCAATAACATATGGAAAAATTAAAAAAAAATTAAAAATGAGGCTTCTGGATAAGTAGGCATTAGCTAGGTGAGGGGAGAGGTTTAGGGACAGACTGCCTCTTGACTAGCTTTGTACCTTTATGATTTTTTTTTAACTCTTCTAATCCTCCATTTTATGTGTATAAAATGAAGGAAATATACCAACCTTAGAGGTTTGCCTGTAAATTGTTTGGCACAGAAATGGTACTTAGTACACAATATGTGGCCACCAGTAATGGTAGTGGCAATCGTGATGGTGGTGCTGGTAGTGGTGGCAGTAGTACTTAGCCAGTGGAATATTGATTTCCAGGAGAAACATGGCAGTTATGTAGATCTTTACAGCCAGGAATTTCCAAGAGAGCTGTATATTTACAAGCCTCTTTCAACTGAAGTAGAAATCATTTGCACAGCTAATGGCCCTGTATAGGCCCCAAAAGAAAGGAAACAAACAACTCTTCCAACCCTGAATGTGGTGGTAACAGTCTCAGAGCCTCCATCTAGCAGCATACACCCAGGAAGTCCTGTAGTGATAGAATGTCTTTCTTCAGAGTGGGAATGTGGGATTCCTGTTTTCAGTAACTATTTCACTATTCTCTGCATTATGGTTTGCACTGAGACTTCCTTTCTTCTTTCCAAGAGAATCTAAACATTTTTTAATAGTTCAAATGGAAGTTTAAGCAGACTGGTGAGAACACTTGATTGATGCTCTTTTTTTTTTTTAGTTATATCAGGCCACATCCTTGGTATTGAGCAAATAGCATGAATAGAAACCATTTTGAGAAATACGAATAATTGTTCCATTATATTGATCCAGTGATAATCAGAAAATGTCTATGCAAGTGAATATATTTCTCAAGCATCAATGGAAAGCCACATTTTAAATACCGTTCATTCATCTTTTTACAAAAGAAAGAAAATTATTATTTTCTTTCTCTGGTAAATTATAACAATTATAATAAACAATCCTTCATAAACTCTTTCCATTTAAAGTGTCCTGGCATTGAATAAACACTGCTCAATGAATAATAGTGTCCCAAGAATGTACCAAGGCAAAAGAGCACGATAATCCCAAATCTTATTCAAAAATCTTTCAATGGCTCTGTGGAATCCCAAGTCTTATATAGCTCTTCATTTCAGCATATAACCCTCTGATTTCAATACATTTTACTAAATTCACTTGTATATGATTTCCAGGCTCTCCAGCTGAACTAGATTACCCATGGTTTCTGAACCACAACCCTCAATTTCCTGGCTCTCTGCCTTTGTTTATGACATTGCTTCTACCTGTAACAATCATTCTGAAGGCCATCTTCTTGCCAAGGTCACTACATCTTTCTTGGTCTGTGAAATTTGATGGGACGTCCTTGTTTGTAAGCCCCCAACATACTCTAGGTGAATGTTATTTATCCTTTTCATGCTATTTTTGTTTAAAATTTCTTTATATGCCTCATCTTTCATTCTATATTGCAAATTTCTTGAGGCCACGTTGGTACAGGAATACAAGAATGACAAGACCCATTGCATCTCATTATTCTTGTATTCCTGTACCATTTTTCACAATGCCTTATCCTAAGTTCTAGCATAGGGGTTGAGAACATGAACTTTAAGGCCAAAAAGAAAAATGGAATGGTGTCCTGACTCTCCTTTTTACAGGCTGTGTAACTTTGTTCAAATGGCTAAACTTTTTAAAGCCACATTTCTTCATTTGAAAAATCGCAAGGCACCTACTGCTTGACTGCACCTCAACATCCAACACTTCTTAAATTGTTTTGGGTTACGTCACATTTCTAAAAAATAGAATGAAGGCTCTGGACATTGCCCTAAGAGAAAAGTACACACATATATACACATCCAGTGATAAAACTTACATCTATTCACTGGTGTTCAAGAGCAGAGGATCTCGAATTATGGTCTGTGTACTCTTATGGTCCCCAAGACTCACTTCAGACATACAGGAGGTCGAATCTATTTTCATAATTATACGTACACAATATTTCCCTTTATCTCTGTATTGACATTTGCACTTATAATACAAAAGTAATATTGGATAAAACCGTTGGCCCCTTAGCATGAATCAAGGCAGCAGGAATAAACTAACATTGTATTCACTATATTGTCTATTAATCATGGTATTCTTCAATGCCATGCACTTACAATAAAAATAAGGAACACAAATTTAAAAATCAGTTTCACTTAGGCAACTCCTTGATGATGCAATAAAATTGTTAACTTTATTGGATGTCAAACCTTGAGTGACATTCTGTATATGGAACAGGAAGTCTACATGTAATGCTTCTGCTGCATCCTGAAGTATAAGGTTGTCTTGAGGAAGGGTACTGGTGGTTAAGCTGTGAGCTGAACTTATTGTTTCTCTGTTATTAGAACACTATTTTTACTTGATAAGATGACCGACTGACAAACTAATGTTGTTCAGACAACAGTTTGGGTATTTGGTAGAGATTTTCTCACAAATAAACAAAGAGAGTATAACTTCAAGAAAAAAAAAACAAAAAACCTAAAAGTATTTGTTCCCAAAGGTCAAAGAACTTTAGAAAACATATATACCATTATGCACCTGACAGCTTCCCTAAGACATTTTTTATTTGATCAAAGATGATACTAACAAAATTATTTTTAAAATATGTTGTATATGGCGACATTTGGAAGATCTGTATAACTCCATAAACCAATATTTTCCAAATGGCCACTGCATGGTGACATAAAATCATGCATGGGTAAAGATTCATTCAATGGAAGTCAGAAAGAACTAGAAAAAATCTATTTTGAAATTCATACGGAACAACAACAACAAAAAAGCCCAAATAGCCAAGGCAATACTAAGCAAAAGAACAAAGCTGCAGCCATTACACTACCTAACTTCAAACTATATTACAGGGCTACAGTAACCGAAATAGCATGGTACTAGCATAAGAACGGACACATAGACCAATGGAACAAAATAGAGGGTCCAGAAATAAAGCCACACACCCACAACCATCTGATCTTTGACAAAGCTGACAAAAACAACCACTGGGGAAAGGATTCCCCATTTAATAAGCAGCGCTGGGATAATTGGCTAGCCATAAGCAGAAGAATGAAACTGGACTCTTTCCTTGTATCATATATAAAAATTAACTCAAGATGAATTTAAGACATTCCTAGGCAATCCCATTCTTGACATAGGAATTGGCAAAGATTTTATGACAAAGATGCCAAAAGCAATTGCAACAAAAACAAAAATTGACAAATATGATCTAATTAAACTAAATAGCCTCTGCACAGCAAAAGAAACCATCAGTAAAGTAGACAGACAACCTACAGAATGGGAGAAAATGTTTGCAACCTATACATCTGACAAAGTCCTAATATCTAGCATCTATATAAACAAATTTACCAGAAAACAACCACCCACATTAAAACGTGGGCAAAGGATATGAACAAACGATTTTCAAAAGAAGACATATATGCGGCCAATAAGCAAATGAGGAAAAGCTCAACATCACTGATCATTAGAGAAATGCAAATCAAAACCACAATGAGATACCATCTCATACCAGTCAGAATGGCTATTAATAAAAAGTAAAAAATAATAACAATAATAATGCTGGTGAGGTTATGTAGAAAAGGGAATACTTATACATTGTGGAAAGCAGTGTAGAAATTCCTCAAAAACCTAACATCAGAACTACCATTCAACCCAGCAATCTCATTACTGAGTATATACACAAAGGAGTATAAATCATTCTATTATAAAGACACATGCACATGTATGTTCATCACAACATTATTCACAATAACAAAGACATGAAATCAACCTAAATCCCCAACAATGGTAGACTGGATAAAGAAAATGTGGTATATATACACCATAGAATACTATGCAGTCATAAAAGAAAATGAGATTGTGTCCTTTGCAGTAACATGATGGAGCTGGAGGCCATTATTCTTAGCAAACTAACACAAGGACAGAAAACCAAATACTGCCTGTTCTCACTTATAAGCAGGAGCTAAATGATGGAAACACATGGACACATACAGGGAAACAACACACACTGGGACCTACTGGAGGGTGGAAGGTAGTAGGAGGGAGAGGATCAAGAAAAATAACTAATGTGTACTAGGCTTAATACCAGGGTGATGAAATAATCTGTACAGCAAACCTTCATGACATGAATTTACCTATGTAGCAAATTTGTACATGCACTCCTGAACTTAAAGGTTAAAAAAAAGAAACAAAGCAAGTTAATGGAAGTTTTGGAATTTGAAGCAGATCTAAATCTTTATATGTTTCAATATGCCACACTGGCATAGTACATTTACCTTAACCATAAGTAGAGATATAATTGTATGGTTACTGACAAAATAGAAGCCATAATTAGGAATAAATAAGTCTCTCTATATATATCTACACATCTATCTATATATATCTTACTTTTACACAATAAAAACTGAAAAAATGATAAATATGAAGACATTGAGAATGTTCAATAAATGATGTCAGAATCAAGATATTTTTATTCCACTCAGCTTTATAAAACCAAATAAATGATAAAATAAGAATGTAAAATAACCCACCTTTCAAAATAACCTAAAAATGGTTACTAACCCCTCTGCCCCAAACACATACAAAATACTAAGAATGTCTACTAAATATAGTAAAATTTGTATCAAAACTAGCAAGGATTAGAACTATGAATTTTTCTCCAGATCTCTTTCAGATTTGCTATTGCCTGGATGTTTATATCCTCTCACAATTAATATGTTGGATTCCTAACCCCCAAGGTGATGGCATTAGGAGGTGAGACCTTTGGGAGGTGATTAGTTCATGGAAGTGGAATCTTCTTGAATGGGATTAATACCCATATAAAATAGGCCCAATGTTCTGACTTCAAACTATACTATAAGGCTACAGTAACCAAACAGCATGGTACTAGTACAAAAACAGACACATAGACCAATGGAACAGAATAAAGAACTCAGAAATAAAACCAAGCATTTACAGCCATCTGATCTTTGACAAAGTCAACAAAAGCAATGGGGAAAGGACTTCCTATTCAATAAAAGGTGCTGAGATACCTGGCTAGCAATATGTAGAAAAATGAAACTGGACTTCTACCTTGAGTTGATACAAAAATCAACTCAAGATGAATTAAAGATTTAAATGTAAAACCTCAAAACATAAGAATTATAGAAGAAAACCTAGGAAATACCATTCTGGACTTTGGCTTTGGTAAAGAATTTATGACTAAGTCCTCAAAAGCAATTGCAACAAAAAAATTGACAAGTGGGACCTAATTAAACTGAAGAGCTTCTGCACAGCAAAAGAGACTATCAACAGAGTAAACAGACAACCTACAGAATGGGAGAAAATGTTCACAAACTATGCATTTGACAAAGATCTAATATCCAGTATCTATAAGGGACTTAACCAATTGAACAAACAAATAACAATTAACCCCATTAAAAATGAGTAAAAGACATGAACACTTAACAAAAGAAGACATACAAGCAGCTAACAAACATGAGAAAATGCTGTATAGCACTAATGATCAGAGAAATGTAAATCAAAATCACAATGAAATAACATCTCACACAAGTCAGAATGGCTGTTACTAAAGTCAAAAAACAACAGATGCTAGTAAGGCTGCAGAGAAAAGGGACAACTTATACACTGTTGGTGGGAATGTAAATTACTTCAGCCACCGTGAAAAGTGGTTTAGACAATGAGAACACATGGACACAGGGAGGGGAACGTCACACACCGGGGCCTATCGGGCTGGGAGGCAAGGGGAAGGATAGCATTAGGACAAATATCTAATGCATGTGGGGCTTAAAACCTAGATGACGGATTGATGGATGCAGCAAACCACCATGGCACATGTATACCTATGTAACAAACCTGCACATTCTGCACATGTATCGCAGAACTTAAAGCATAATAATAATAATAATCAAAAGAAAAGTGGTTTAGAGATTTCTCAAAGAACTTAAAATAGAACTACCATTCAACCCAGCAATCCCATTACTGGGTATACACCCAAAAGAAAATAAATCCTTCTACCAAAAAAACACATGCATGAATATGTTCATCGCAGCACTATTCACAATACCAAAAACATAGAATCAACATAAGCGCCCATCAATGGTGGATTGGATAAAGAAAATGTGGTACATATACACCATGAAATACTATGTAGCCATAAAAAAGAAAGAAATTATGTCCTTTGTGGCAACATATATACAGCTGGAGGTCATTGTGCTAAGCAAATTAACACGGAAACAGAAAACCAAGTATCACATGTTCTCACATATAAGTGGGAATTAAACACTGGGTATTCACAGACATAAAGGACACTAGGGATTACTAGAGTGGGGAGAGAGGAAGAGGGTAAAAGTTGAAAAACTAACTATTGAGTACTATGCTCAGCACCTGGGGGACAGGATCAATCATACCTCAAACCTCAGAATCATGCAATATACCTTTGTAACGAACCTACACATGTACCCCCTGAGTTTAAAATAAATGTTAAAATTATTTTTAAAAAAGAAAATAGAAATTAAAAGTACAATGAGATACCACTAAAAAAGAAAAAAAGCAAATGAGATAAGCCAAAGGGTTTTAATGTAACAGAATTCAAATGGTACATTCATAATGGTTTAAATCACATATTGCAACTATCCTTAATAAAACTACTATTTGTCCAGTTTTGCTGTAGTATTAAAACAGAATATTCACAATTACCTGAAAAGGCTATTCAAATACTCCTTTTTTTCACAACTACATATCTGTATGAGGCCATGTTGTCTTCAATCAAAACCATATGTTGCAACATTTTGAATACAGAAGTAGATATGAGAAAACAGTTGACTTTTCTTAAACTGGACAAATAAATAGATAGGTAAAAATGTGAAACAAAGGCATTCTTCTATTTTTTTCATGCTTTGAAAAATATAGCTTTTTAATGAAAATGTTATTTATATAAATATAGAATGGGTTTATTAATTTAATTTAAAATAAATTAATAAGATTTTTAAAAATATCTTCATTTTAATTTCAAATACAGAAAATATCTATATTGATAACCCAGAAAAGCTCTAAGTCTTTATTTTTAAGAGTGCTTAGGGGTCGTGAGGCCACAAAGTTTGAGAACAATTTTTTTAAGATCTTTGTGGTTCTCAGATTATGAAACCCTGCTCTAGTAATATGCCCACAATTTTGTGAGGTAAAATGTAGGCTTCTGCCATGGCAGCCCCAGGTTCCTCCTTTCAGTTGAGTCTCTGTGTGGAAGGAAACTTCCCTATTTTATTAATGTAAATGACACCCCCCCAAAAAAATCTGTAAAATTACAAATATGTTACCCAAGCAGAGTCCTGTAAATGTAGATGAAATTAGGGTTCTTTAAAAATGGAATTGTATGTTTGACACTCTGAGATGAAGTATTGTTTGTAAAGAAAATATGCACTTATTTTTTGACTGGACATTTCCACACAATGGGGCATCTTTACATTCCCCTTCATTCCTCCCCCAATTTTAAAGTTGTCATCACAGTTAGTCCATTGTTTTGTAAAAATACTGATTATTTATTAATTAGAACAAGAAATGAGTAGCATGTAGACACTTAACAACTTTAGAGACTTTTATAAGTGATGGGCATGGTGTCTGCAGAACTATTCAGCTTCTTGAATATATTAAAAATATCATTCATTATGACCAAGTGGGATTTATCACAGGTATGCAAGGATGGTTCCTCATATGCAAATCAATCAGTGTGATACATTATATCAACAGAATGAAAGGTGAAAGCTTTATGATTATTTCAACTGATGCTGAAAAAGCATTTGATAAAATTCAATACACATTCATGATAAAAGTCCTCAAAAAACTGGGAATAGAAGGAACATACCTCAATATAATAAAAGCCATATATGACAGACCCACAGCTAGTAACATACTGAATGGGGAAAAACTGAAAACCTTTCCTCTAAAATCTAGAACATTACAAGGATACTCACTTTGACAATTATTATTCAACATAGTACTAGAAGTCCTAGTTAGAGCAATTAGACAAGAAAAAGAAATAAAGGGCATCCAAATTGGAAAGGAGGAAGTCAAATTATCCTTGTTTGCAGATGATATGATCTTATATTTGGAAAAACCTAAAGACTCCACCAAAAAACTCTTAGAGCTAATAAATAAATTCAGTAAATTCAGCTAATAAATAAATTCAGTAAAGTTGCAGGATACAAAATCAACATACGAAAATCAGTAGCAACAGTGAACAATTTGAAAAAGAAATCAAAAAATAATTCTATTTACAATAGCCACAAATAAAATTAAATACCTAGGAATTAACCAAAGAAATCAAAGATCAATGAAAACTATAAAACACTGATGAATGAAATTCAAGAGGATACAAAAAAATGGAAAGACGTTTCATGTTCATGGAGTGGAAGGATCAATATTATTAAAATGTGCATACCACAGAAAACAATCTACAGATTTAATACAATCCCTATAAAAATACCAATCTTCACAAAATAGAAAAATCAATCCTAAAATTTATATGAAACCACAAAAGACACAGAATAGCCAAACCTATCCTAAATAAAAACAACAAAACTGGAGGAATCACATTACCTGATTTCAAATTATACTATAGAGCTATAGTAGCCAAAACAGCATGGTACTGGCACAAAAAGAGACACAAAGACCAATGGAACAGAATAGAGAACCCAAAAACAAATCTACACACTTATAGTAAACTCATTTTTTATAAAGGTGCCAAGAACATACACTGAGGAAAAGACAGCCTCTTTAACAAATGGTGCTAGGAAAACTCAATATACAGATGCAGAAGAATCAAACCAGCCCCCTATCTCTCATTATGTATAAAAATCAAATAAAAATGAATTAAGGACTTAAATATAAGAATTCAAACTATAAAACTACTACAAAAAAATATTGGGGAAACTCCAGGACAATGGCCTGGGCAAAAATCTCTTGAGTAACACCCCATGGGCACAGGCAATCAAAGCAAAAAATGGATAAATGGGATCACATGAAGTTATAAAAAACTTCTGCACAGCAAAGGAAACAATCAACAAAGTAAAGCGACAACCACAGCATAGGAGAAAATATTTGCAAACTACCCATCTGTCAAAGGATGAATAACCAGGATATATAAGGAGCTCAAACAACTCTATAGGAAAAAATCTACTGATCTAATCAAAAATGGGCAAAAGGTTTGAACAGACATTTCTCAAAAGAAGACATACATACGGCAAACAGGCATATGAAAAGGTGCTTAACATCATTGATCATCAGAGAAATGCAAATCAAAACTACAATGAGACATCATTTCACCCCAGTTAAAACGGCTTATATCCAAAAGGCAGCCAATAACGAATGCTGGCAAGGATGTGGAGAAAAAGGAACCCTCATACACTGTTGGTGGGAATGTAAATTAGTACAATCACTATGGAGAACAGTTTGTAGGTTCCTCAAAAAATGAAAAAATGAGCTATCATATGATTGAGCAATCCCACTACTGGTATATACCCAAAAGAAAGGAAATCAGAGTATCTAAGAGATATCTGCACTCTCATGTTTGTTGTAGCTCTGTTCATAATAGCCAAGATTTGGAAGCAACCTAAGTGTCCATCAACAGATGAATGTATACAGAAAATGTGATACTTATACACAATGGAGTACTATTTAGCCATAAAAAAGAATGAGATTCTGTCATTTGCAATAACATGGATAGAACTGAAGGTCGTTATGTTAGGTGAAATAGGCCTGGCACAGAGGGACAAACATCACAGTTCTCATTTATTTGTGGGATCTAAAAATCAAACTAAAATTGAACTCATGGAGATAGAGAGTAGACGGATGATTACCAGAAGCTGGGAAGGGCAGTGGGAGGGTTGGGAGGGGAAGGTGGGGATGGTTAATGGGCACAAGAAAATAAATAGAGCAAATAAATAAGACCTGGTATTTGATAGCACAACAGGGTGACTCTAGTCAAAATAATTTAATTGTACATTTAAAATAACTAAGAGTGTAATTGGATTGTTTGTAGCACAAAGGATAAATGCTTGCGGGGATGAATACCCCCTTTTTCATGATGTGTTTATTATGCATTGCATGCTTGTATTAAAATATCTCATGTACCCCATAAATATGCACACCTATTTTGTACTCACAAGAATTAAAAATTAAAAAATAAAGCCCACCTCAGCTATGGGCAGACAAGAACAAGACTAAAAATAAAATAAAATAAGAAAGATTCAGCTTGTTGAATCTAAGATTCAGTGAACACTTTCCAAAATCATACTAAAACATTTGGCCATGAAATGAATTTTCCTATTCTTTCACTGCTTAAATGAGCACAGGGAAGGTGTTGAAAGAAAATAAAAACAAAGAGGAAGAAAAAGAAAAAGAAAAGTAAGAAAAGGTGGCTTTTAACTGTTACATGCATAGTAAGCACTTACTGATGTAATGAGAACCAATCAGAAGTTTTTTAGAATTTTCCCATCCTACCTTCCCCTCCTGACCTGGGCCTGCTGTTATACAGAAGATAATTCATGGTGGGAACACAGATGGAACCTCTTCCTTCCTATTACTTGATTGGACTTACAATCAGTTTTTCTGCTTATCATTCTAATACCAGGTGAATTGGAAAAGGGCATGCAGTGCCAAGAACTTTGACTCACTGGATTGTTTACTGGCTTCCAGGAGATTTTTAAGAATAAGGGTGTGATAAAGCCCCAGGAGAATACAAATCTCTAAGCAGAGAATTTTAGCAAAAGTTGCAGTGTCTGAAACTATGGCTGGGATAATTCATTCCTAATAAAATGCCGAGAAACCTGTGAGGCGCACAGCGGAAATCCATCTCTCTAGGAAGAAACTTTAGGAGGAAAAAATTATTTGGCTTTTAGGATCTCTCACAATCCCTTCTCTGCCAAATAACCTACACCAAAACTTCACATTGTCTCTTAATGAAGGGAGAATTCTTGAGGCTCCTAATTTCCAAGTTTCCATATCTTTGCATACTCCCCCTTAGAGATCTTAGGAGAGAGTACTTCTTACACTATACACATGTAAATAAGCTATAAGTACTTAGTTGCCTCTCCCTTGATACAGTAAAAGTAAAAGGTTGGAAATAAGGTTATAGTATTAGGGAAAAAAAGAAAAAAGCTTTTTCTTCAATATAGGCTTCATGGTGTTTCTCAGATAATATTTCTCATTTCTGGGTCTTTCCAAATGTTATTTCTGCTTCTTAAAATGCTGCCACATGGCTCTTTCCACTCCCTCATCTCTACCCTACTCTTATTTTTACCCACATGCATCCAAATCTGATTCTGTCTTCTCTCCTTACCTTCCATATCCTTCCAGAAATCCTTCATGAATTACTCACCTGAACCTGCCCAGTGTCTTACACATTTGGTTTTACTTAATTCTTTATTCATATCTTAGTAATCTTATTTATTCAGTAAACATGTATTGAGCAACTGCTACATATCAGGTACCATACAAGTCAGTAGAGATTCAAAGAGAAACAAAAGACACATTCCTATCCTTAAATAACTTACAAGGACTTGGGGGAATACAAAACAAAACAAAACAAAACAAAACACAGAATTATAACATAATATGACAATTGCTGTAAAAATAATTTTCAGGTATACCTTATACCTGTGGGTTTTGTCTCCTCATCTTAATTTTGAACTTCTTAACTATGTGTCTGCCCTTTGAAGAATGCTCAGGCCAGAGACAGCAGTCGATAATATTGTGAACTGAAGAAACGAGACAGATGCTAAGCCCTCAGCTAAATATAACATGTCCAAATTCACATCAGAGGTTTGAGCCCAGCCATATTCTGTGTGTGAAAACATCTGGACCAAAAGAGGTGCAAGAAGCTTATTTACTGGTGTCAGTGAAAATACTAAAAGTGATTTTCCTAGCATTTTTGGAACCTCGTTGAAGAGGGGGTAGAGTAGATAAAATCTCAGAAACATGGGATTTACAAAGCCTTAATTTCTGTCTCTTACCAAATGTTATGTTAAACTCTATGGGGACAACTCAATCCTTACAAATGTTGTACAACAATACACTGAATAATGTGATGTTTGGAAAGTGTCTCCTGATGGGGTCAAAATATCCCAGAAGACAATTGGGCCAGTGTTAGACTTTCTGCCTTTGGAGGCATGTTGTGGTTGGCTGGGCAGGGAAGGAGGACAAGTGGAACCAGTGGGCCTCCAGCTCCTTCACTGGAAACTCCTGTGCTGACCAGCACTGTGGCCTGGGACTCAGAGCAAGCTTCCCCACCCATCTTTGCACTGCAGCTCAGTATGAAACACTAAAAGGATAACATAGAGATTACCAGTTGAGGCCGTTCCCAAAGCAGTATTATGTAATTCATGCATTGGATCATTGGATCCTTCCCATGGAGCAGGATCCAATTAGGCAGCCTAGGAATTTTATTCCAGTTTCATCCATGGAAAAAATGAGGTATAGAGAAATTAAGTAACAAATGTTTATAAACACACGGCTGGCAAATTCTACCACCAGTATCTCATAGAGGTTGAGAGAGGCCTATGCCATTCCATACTTTGAAAAAATGTATAAGAAGAAATTCCAAAACAGATTGGCAAACATCATGTAATATTTGAAAATTGTTTTTTTTTTTTGAGACGGAGTCTCGCTCTGTCGCCCAGGCTGGAGTGCAGTGGCGGGATCTCGGCTCACTGCAAGCTCCGCCTCCCAGGTTCACGCCATTCTCCTGCCTCAGCCTCCCAAGTAGCTGGGACTACAGGCGCCCGCCACTACGCCCGGCTAATTTTTTGTATTTTTTAGTAGAGACGGGGTTTCACCGTTTTAGCCGGGATGGTCTCGATTTCCTGACCTCGTGATCCGCCCGCCTCGGCCTCCCAAAGTGCTGGGATTACAGGCGTGAGCCACCGCGCCCGGCCGAAAATTGTTTTTATGTAACTAATAAACATTATTAATACTGTAAGAACATCCAATGCAAAAAATTGTGGCATTATAAAGTATAGGAATATATACATATAAATAATTTTTGTGGCATTATACAGAAATATATGTATAATAGATGTATCTGTGCATGTGCCTGTTTGTGTGTTTATATTACAGTGCACTCCAGATGATAGAGCCTGGTAAAGGTCACATGTGCAATGCTGTACAACAGATACATGATGGGAAGCAAACTCTTGTTTATTTTTGCAACAGCAATTTTCTCATTGGCAACAATGTTCTCAGTCTTAGAAAATAATAAAAATGAAATATTATTGACCTAGTCTAATCACACTAGGTTGGTGCAAAAGTAATTGTGGTTTTTGCATTGTTGAAATTTGCCATTTGATATTGGAATACATTCTTAAATAAATGTAGTTATTTTATATATTATTTTAATGCCCATTTATTGCTTTCTGGTTTTTTTGCTAATGATTTATTACTTGCTGTTTATTTTATATTTATTTTACACTATGGAAATGATGTTAGACAAAAAGAAAATTCGAGTGATTTTCTTGAGTCCAAGATGAGTCATAAAGCAGCAGAGACAACTCACAACATCAAGTATGTATTTGGCCCAGGAACCGCTAACAAACATACAGTGCGGTGGTGGCTCAAGAAGTTTTGGAAAGGAGACAAGAGCCTTGAAAATGAGGAGCCTAATGGCCGGCCACAGGAAGTTGACAACAACCAACTGAGAGCAATCATCTGAGCTGAACCTTTCAGAACTATACAAGAAGCTGCTGAAGAACTCAGCGTTGACCATTCCTAGGATCATTTGGCATTTGAAACAAATTGTAAAGGTGAAAAAGCTCAATAAGTGGGTGCCTGATGA
Organism: Homo sapiens; assembly: GCF_000001405.40. Classification (NCBI taxonomy): domain Eukaryota; kingdom Metazoa; phylum Chordata; class Mammalia; order Primates; family Hominidae; genus Homo; species Homo sapiens. Next base: position 198,864,078 of record NC_000002.12, read on the forward strand.
GCTGACCAAAAATACAAAAGTTTGTTGTTTTGAAGTGTTGTTTTCTCTTAGTCTATGCAAAAACAACAAACAATTTCTCAATTGCATTGTGACAGGCCCTGAAAAGGGGATTTTATATGACAATCGATGATGACCAGCTCAGTGGCTGGACCGAGAAGAAGCTCCAAAGCACTTCCCAAAGCGAAACTTGCACCAAAAAAGGTCATGGTCGCTGTTTGGTGGTCTGCAGCCGGTCTGATCCCTTAAAGCTTTCTGAATCCCAGTGAAGTCATTGCATCTGATAACTATGTTCAGCAAATCAATGAGATGCACCAAAAACTGCAATGCCCACAGCTGGCACTGGTCAACAGAAAGGGCCCAATTCTTCTTCACAACAACTCCCGACCACACGTTGCACAGCCAATGCTTCAACAGTTGAACTAATTGGGCTACGAAGTTTTGCCTCATCTGCCGTATTCACCTGACCTCTTTCCAAATGACTACCACTTCTTCAAGCAGCTCAACAACTTTTTTCAGGGAAAATGCTCCCACAACCAGCAGGATGCAGAAAATGCTTTCCAAGAGTTCATCAAATCCCAAAACATGGATTTTTACGCTACAGGAATAAAACTTACTTCTTGTTGGCAAAAATGTGTTGATTGTAATGGTTTCTATTTTGGTTATTAATGTGTTTGAGCCTAGTTATAATGATTTTACCTTCACGGTCCAAAACTGCAATTACTTTTGCACTAAGCTAATATTATTATGTTCCTTGTCATGGTACCCAATTCTAGCCAAAAAGACCTTAAGGGAAATTAACAGGGGGTTCCTGGGAGATATTTTCCTTCCTAAAAATAGAGGGCCTTAGAGAAGGTGAAGATTTTTCTCCCCTTCTGGCTCTTCCTACTTTGGAACATGCTGTGTGAGAATATGATGTCTGGAGCTGTGGCAGTCATTTTGAAATAATGAAGTGGCAATACTGAGAACAAACCCAAGCATGAATGATATCAGAGTGAAAAGATGGGAAAGCCTGGGTCTGTCCTTGATGACTTTACGAACCCACAAACACTGCCAGCTTGTGACCATTTTATTATTTAAAACAGTAACTTCTAAAAACTTAAGAAACAGCTTAGTTGGGATTTTTCTTGCTTGTAGTTAGAAGCATCTTAAGTATTATGTCCTTCTTTCAATGTTGTTCATGATTTTATGTAAAACTTCTTTTGGAGAGAATATTAACATACAAATTGCAGGCCTCTTGTGAATATGAAGCCAGAGCCAGCTGCCCTCCCTGCCCACCCCACTGATAAACTTTCTCTTTCCATAGAAATCAGGCCAGTGGTTCTGAGCATCCAGCCTCCAGGCCAGTGTTCTGTGACATAGCATCCCATGAGACCACCGTAAGAGTCACCTGGACTTCCTATCACTCAAAGAACCAAGAATCTTGTACCACGTTCATCTCTCTCCAACAACACGAATTCTACGATAAAAATCCATTTCAGTATGGCAAGATTTTTTAAGTCCACCTAGCTGGTGTTGAGAATAACTCGAGGCAGAGGACGTTCAATGAAAGCAGAATAACTTTTCCTTCTTGATTGGATATGCAGTAAAGATAAATGATAAACCACTTCAGAGGTACATAGAATTATGCTCATTTTATGACTCCTTTCTTCTTAGGATCTCAGAGCAATTATGTAAAGAATGCTCATGTTCACATTATACTAAGGTACTACATATCTGCACAAGAAAAAGAGAAGCTCATTCGCTGCCCTTCCCTCCACTCACTTTGTGTGTGGTGTGTGGGTGTACTTAAACAGTGTGCCTATTTATATTCAATCACATATGGACGCTATATATGAATTAGGTATCTATAATGCAGATATTTTAAATATTTGTTTACCACCAACTGTTTAACTGGGATTTCCATGAATAGAATAAAAGATGTATGTGCTAAATATATATGTAGTTGTATATGGGTATCTGGTACAATTTACTATTATTTCTTTTTATGGGCCAAGCAGGAAAAAAAGAAAACCAAATATTCTAAATAAATTTTGTCCATTTCCATTTCCCATACCATGAAACAATATGCTTAATACACAATAAACACGATTTTTAAGGGAAAAGAAAGAGAGGATATTATCTATAGAAAGATGAAAGCCCAATTTTTTAGAAGTCACAATGGCTAATTATTATTCATTCTTTTTGTAGAAAATATTTGCATGTTTAAGTCCAACATACATGTAAATATTTTAAACAAACAAAAACATGCCAGGGATAACAATAAACTATTTCTGAGTTGGGGAGAAAAAAAGCCTGCCAGGAGTAGGCATGTATATTTTTAAGCATACTGCTTCAAAAAGCAGGATGTCAGGATGTTGCATCTTTAATTTTTCTGTTAATTATGGATTGAGCATTGTTGTGAATCTTGTCCTCAAAACCAAGCTCAGAAAATAAGAGCAGATGCTCATCCCCAGGTTTGGCTCATATGGGAATTGAATGGAACATATTGGTTTATAATTAATGTAATTTGTTGGATTATCTTTTGTGAAGGAGCGAAGGTAAACAACCTTGCAGCATTGTGGTAATATCTTCAGAGCTTGGAGCTTCTATAGTTATGGAGGGAAAAAAGAATGAAAATGAAAAAAAAAAAAAATCTCTTCCTGCAAGATTACAGAGAATTTTGAAATGTCTGTCACATTCAAATGTACTTTAATTAATTCAAAGGAAAGAATTAGGTGAGAGACCCTAAAGCTAATTACAAATAGTATGTAAACTAGAAGCCATTGGTTTCCCAATGGAGAATTTTGATAAACTGGATTTTCTTTTCTATTTGCTTTAACTTTATTACAGAATAAGTAGGGAAATGGAAGAGAATATTTTCCCTTCTCTCTAATCAGAAAATTGGGCACAGCACAAAATTCATCGATTTGGTTCTTTCCCCTTGGGAGACATTCTGTTACTAACAAGAAATATACAATTTTTTTTTCCCAAGAAAAAGTCTTTGTTCTCTTCCTCATACCCTTAGAGGTAGAGATGTTATCTTCACTTTGAATAAACTCATTTGTGAAGAAAGTAACCATAAGCCTTTCTACACACAAGGAAGCCAGGAAGGATAAATGCCCTTTGGTGTGACCTTTCCCAATCATAAAATATTTCCTCTGCCTCACATTAACCATGAGTATGTATGCATAACTTTGGATCTGACAATCTTTGAATGTCAATTTTGATATTGCATCACCTGAATTTTCATTTTGATATTTTTCTGTACATTATATGTCATTTTTAAAATTGAGTTTCTTAGCTTCTAATATCGAGTTTGAAACTTTTTGTGAACTTTCTATGAGTAAGAGGAAGTAAATTTTAATTGACCATTCACTTTTTAAAATATTTTCTTATATTTGATTGCTAAAATTATTCTTTCCAAAATCTCATAACTAGAAACCTAGTTTACAGCATCACAAGTCCAGAATATGGGAGTATTTTTTTAAAGGGAAGAAGCAGGAGAGTGAAGACATTAAAAAATTAACTTAAAAGCAAATGTGCATCTCTTTTAGAAGCAATTACATAAATAATAGTAATTCTATTTTTATTGTCTGAAATGAATAATCAGATTTTATCTTAGAGATTATTTTCTCTGGAAGCATTTTCACATTACCACATCACCCACAACTACCAAAGAATGATTTAAGGGCTTTTCTGGGGCGGGGGGTATACATTTAAAATACCCAGTCTTTTACCATGTGGTATTATTTACCACACCCTGATAGAATTGCACGCCTATTTGTCTACTCTACTTAAACTGTGAGCTCTTTAAAGAAAGAATCCTTCTTTTATTTATCATTATGTTAGTGTATGACATTTTATCGTACTCTAAATTTGTTGAAACAGTGAAAAACATGGGGTATATAACCTGACCCTAAAAATTTAGAGAATGATTTTTTTTTTTTTTTTTTGAGACGGAGTCTCACTCTGTCGCCCAAGCTGGAGTGCAGTGGTGTGATCTCGGCTCATTGCAACCTCTGCCTCCTGGGTTCAAGCAATTCTCCTGCCTCAGCCTCCCGAGCATCTAGGACTACAGTCACCTGCCACCATGCCTGGCTAATTTTTGTAGTTTTAGTAGAGAGGGGGTTTCACCATGTTGGCCAGGATGGTCTCAATCTCTTGACCCCATGATCTGCCTGCCTCAGCATCCCAAAGTGCTGGGATTACAGGCATGAGCCTCCACGCCTGGCCGGAAATTTTTAAAAAATTAGCACCAATCCTTAAGATCTTTATTTTGGAGTGTAGCCATATTTATGGAAGTCCTAGGAAACCAGAAAGCTGACAAGCAAGGTGACATTAAATTCCTTATGATATTCTTAATTTCCTGGATCACCTGTTAGAAGTCTGGAGCAGAGCAAGGGGAAAGTCTTAGTTAATTCAATAATATCTGTCGCCTATTGAAAACTGAATGGCACACAGTGGAATTGTTAGGGATGATCCCTGCTTTGTAGCTAGAGAGACACAGCTAACATGAAACATCAGCTACTGGTAAAAGATGGTATATAATTAAGTATTAAATTCAGTAGTATATGCTTTCCTAAACTATAGGTTTATAGAAAAGAAGAAAAGTCTTTTAGAGGTATCAAAAATAAAGACATCAGGGAGAACATCAAACATAGATGACTTGCACCGGTTGGTATTAGCTCTGACCAGGTACTGTGCTAGACTCCTTTTTTTTTTTTTTTTTTTTTTGTTTTTGAGATGGAGTCTCACTCTGTCGCCCAGGCTGGAGCGCTATGGCATGATCTTGGCTCACTGCAACCTCTACCTCCCGGTTCAAGTGATTCTCCCGCCTCCGCCTCCTGAGTAGCTGGGATTACAGGCGCCCACTGCCACACTCAGCTAATTTCTTGTATTTTTATTAGAGACGGGGTTTCACCATTTTGACCAGGCTGGTCTCAAACTCCTGACCTCAGGTGATCTGCCCACCTTGGCCTCTCAAACTGCTGGTGTGTCCAGAATTGGTTCCTTCTGCTGGGTTCTTGGTCTTGCTGACTTCAAGAATGAAGCCATGGACCCTCGCAATGAGTGTAACAGTTCTTGAAGATGCTGTATCCGGAGTTTGTTCCTTCCAGTGCTCAGACGTGTCCAGTTTCTTCCTTCCGGTGGGTTCGTGGTCTCACTTGACTTCATGAGTGAAGCTGCAGACCTTCCCAGTGAGTGTTACAGCTCTTAAAGCTGGTGCATCCGGAGTTGTTTCTTTCTTCCAGTGGGCTCGTGGTCTCGCTAACTTCAGGAGTGAAGCTGCAGACTTTTGTAGTCAGTGTTACAGCTCTTAAAGGTGGCATGTCCGGAGTCGTTCATTCCTCCCAGTGGGTTTGTAGTCTCGCTGGCTTCAGGAGTGAAGCAGCAGACCTTCCTGGTGAGTGTTACAGCTCATAAAGGTAGTGCGGACCCAGAGTGCACAACAGCAAGATTTATTACAAAGAGTGAAACAACAAAGCTACCACACCCTGGAAGGTGACCCTAGCAGTCGCCTCTGGTGGCTTAGGTGGCCTGCTTTTATTCCCTTACTTGGCCCCACCCACGTCCTGCTGATTTGTCCATTTTACAGAGTGCTGATTGGTCCATTTTACAGAGTGCTGATTGGTCTGTTTTACAGAGTGCTGATTGGTCTGTTTTTACAGAGTGCTGATTTGTGTGTTTACAAACCTTTAGCTAGACACAGAGCGCCCACTGGTGCATTTACGATCCTTTAGCTAGACAGAAAAGTTACCCAAGTCCCCTACCCAATTAGTTAGACACAGAGCACTGATTGGTGTGTTTACAAACATTTAGCTAGATACAGAGTGCTGATTGGTTCATTTACAATCCTTTAGCTAGACACAGAGCACTGATTGGTGCATTTACAATCCTATAGCTAGACAGAAAAGTTCTCCAAGTACCCACCCAACCCAGACGCCCAGCCAGCTTCACTTCTCACTGGGATTACAGTTGTGAGCTCTGCGCCCAGCCAGGTTCTCTTTTAATCCTCATCGTCTCATTCTCATGCTGCACAGTTACTTTCCCATAGTAACATCAAACATTAATGTTATATCTGGTTTTGAACTCTGGTTCTTTTATAATACTGTAAGATAACTGACAGAATATCCAGAAAGAAACAGAGAAATGAATTAAAAATCATCCCGTAAAGAAAAGGGCAGGAGTAAGTAGATGAAAACTACTAGAGTGCCATTTCACTAAGGACTAGAGTACCTTTTCACTAAGGACAAAGAAGTAGACAGTTTCAAGAATGAATTACAATAAAAATTGTCAAAAACTGCAAAATGGCTGGGCACGGTGGCTCATGCCTGTAATCCCAGAACTTTGGGAGGCTGAGGCAAGAGGCTCACTTGAGGCCAGGAGTTCAAGACCAACCTGGCCAACATGGTGAAACCCTGTCTCTACTAAAAATACAAAAATTAGCCAGGCGTGGTGGCGTAGGCCTGTAATCCCAGCTACTCAAGAGGCTGAGGCAGGAGAATCACTTGAACCTGGGAGGCAGAGGCTGCCATGAGCTGAGATCGTGCCACTGCACTCCAACCTGGGCAACAGAGTGAGGCTTCATCTCAAACAAAAACAAAAACAAAAACAAACCCTGAAAAATGGCCAGTGTTCAAGGAGACTGCATTTGTCATTATAGCTGACAACAAAGATGGTGATTTTTTAAAAAAGATAAGTGAGTAGGATGAAAACCATGCTGCAGAGGTAAGGACAGGAGTGATGATGGGGAAGCAACATAGATAGAGGTCTGTCACAAAAATAAAGTGGATAGAAATTGACTGGAAGCCAGAGTGGTACTAAGGTCAAGTAAAGCTCTTTGTCAAAGTAGGAGATGCACATTATTAAAACTAAAGGAGAAAGAAATGGAATGGAGAAGAAAGGAACAAGTAAGGAGCAAAATGATCAATCAAATGATCGGGGTGAAGCTAGCACTTCTGAGAGTCTGCTGAGATGGAAATTTGGAGAGATGTCTGTAGAAGTGGAAGAAAATAGGGTGAGATGAAGATAAGAAACAATGAGGGATAGCCTTGATCTTTTTATTTTAAGAACAAGGTGAGCTCACCAGCTGAAAAAAAGGAGAAGGCAGGAAAGTATTTAAGGCTGGGAAATAACCTAAGTCTGTTGCAGCTGAATTGAGAACGATGAAAATACTCTTTCCACAAAACCATCTACATAAACCTAACTGCTTACAAGGTATCTTCCTTCCTGATCAAATATTATTATGATTATTTGGCTCTTAGAAATCCCCAAAGGACTTTAGAATAATCTGCATGGCATGAAATGGCAAGGTCTTCAATGTAAAAAAAAAAAAAAAAAAAAAAAAGAAGAATTATTTTTAAAAGTAAACAGATTGACCAATACAGAAATTCTGGCCCTTTTCCAAAATTACAGCATGTCATTGGAAAAAATTGGAAGGATGAGGAAGATCTCAGTTCAATTCTATTTCTGCTACACTGTGCTGCTCTCCTATAGCATAGGTATTTAAGTATATGTTAAATGAAATAACTTTTGAAAAACTATATTATTTTAAAATGTGACAAGCATCTCTAACACCTCGTTTACAGAAGCTTGACTAGCTTTTTTATATTGTTTAAGGGAGTAAATAATTTGTTTCTATGGACCAAAATTTTTACCAGATAGTTACTTGCAAATATAAATAATAAAAATATACTAACCTCTTATCCCTTCGGATGTGTGTCCATTTTTTTAAAGCATTGGATGCTATCCAATCTGAACTTTTTGGATAAGAACTAAATCATAGATGATAAAAACCAAGCAGCGAACACTTTTTAGGCAAATATGGGAAGTGAGCCATGCCTATTTCTGGAGAATTTTTTCTCCTGACTTTGTGCATCTCAGATGGCTAGGAACTCAATTCAATTCCCAAATTCTTAAATCCTTGATGTTCAACGTATCATCACCGTATTGCCAAGGAGTATAGATCACAAGGAAGGTGCTTCAAGAAAATCACTCCATTATCATCAAACGCGCTATAAACAATGTTGAAAGACAAATAAAAGTCTTGGGGAAGACATTTGTAATAGATTTACCAAAAACTAATATCTGATTTGTAAATCAGTGTGAATAAATACCAAAATCCTAATAGAAAAAAAAAAAACGTGGGCTAAGCATATAAGCAGGCAATTAAGAAGTGAGGAAAATGATAGATCAAAACATATGAGAAGATGTTCATCTTCACTAATAATAGGGAAACTGCAAGTAAAAAACAATGAATTAACACCTTTTAAATGGCAGGTTCTCAATTCTCAGTAAAATACCGATTGTTGGTAAGGCTGAAAAAAAAAATCACACTCTCCTACCTTGCTGGTGGGAAAGTGAATTTACTAAACCTTGTGGTGAGCAATTTGGCAATATATATTAGAAATATACATATCCTTTGGCCCAGTGATCTCTCTTTTGATTATTTACTCCAAGGGAACAATAAATCATGCACATATGTATAAAAGCAGGAGCACAAAAAAATTCATCACAATGGGGTTTATGAGAAGGAAAACTGAGAAGAATCTAATTATCTAACAAGAGGAAATGTTAAATAATTGTTGTACATCCATACACTAGAATTATCTGTATCTTTTTTAAAAAGATGTTGTACATGTAGATTCACTAATATGGAAAGTTCTTTTTTGACTTATTTTAAATAGAAAAAGAAAGCTTGAGAAATTTCATTGTATGTATATCAAAATATCATGCTGTACACCTTAAATACATACAATAAAAAAAGAAGATTTGAGAGCAACATATATTACATGGTGATGTGGTTTGGATCTGTGTCCCCAGTCAAATCTTATGTTCAGTTGTAATCCCTAGTGTTGGAGGTGGGGCCTGGTGGGAGGTGACTGCATCATGGGGGTGGAGTTCTTTTGAATGGTTTAGCACCAGCCCTCACTTGGTACTGTATAGTGAGTGAGCTCTCATGAAATCTGGTTCTTTAAAAGTGTGTGGAACATTCCCCTTTCTCTCTCAGTCTTGCTCCTACCTTCTAAGACACCTGCTACCACTTTACCTTCTGCCATGCTTGGAAGCTCACTGAGGCCTCCCCAGAAGCACAAGCCACTGTGCCTCCTCTACAACATGAAGAACAATTAGCCAATTAAATCTCTTTTCTTTATAAATCACCTAGTCTCAGGTATTTCATTCTAGCAATGGGAGAAAGGACTAATACAGATAGTGTACTCTATGTATATAGAGTTAGGTGTTCAATCATAAAGAGAAGTGTAGAAAAACATTTATAAAATATTGACTGTGCTTTCTTATATATGGTAGAATTTAAAGTGTTTCCTTCAATAGCTTCTACATGCTTTCCATATTGTCTATTTTTTTCCGTATTTATTATCTTTAATTAAATGCTTCGGATTTTAATATTTAGAACTGCAAGGGAATGGATTTGTCAGCAGTTCCATCATTTTCAATTGTGGCTGATTAAACAGATTTTGGATATGAAATGTATTCGTTAATATCTATGAATTAGTTTCCTTACTCTCAGTACACTTTTTTCTCACTATATAGTGCCTGAACATGAGTAAAATATGCACAGCCAAGTAACTAATTAAGATATTTGTACAATGACAGGGGAGAGTCTTCATTTATGTCATACTTCTCACACAGTTTAGCATATTAACTTCTCTCTATTCAAAAAAGAATGAGTGGGCCACAGTTAAGGAAGATATGTTGGCATATTGAAACCACAAAGGTTAGCAAAGATCCTGAAAACTCTTCAAACTTTATATTTGTTACTTTCAGAGAAGTTTCTTTGTAGGCCATGTGAAACATACATAGTTCACAGAATCTTGAATTAAGCGGCAACGACAGCAATAGATTTTGTGAGCCGGATGCTAGGCTTAATGTCATAAATGGACTACATATTCACTTCAGAGCTATGTTTTTCTAGTGAGTCACAAATGAAACTTCCATAATAATAGTTCCAAGTCATATTCACAAGAAAACTGTTCAGTCAAAGAGAATGAGAAACTTATCACAGATTGACGACTTTCTGATATGGGATGTTCAAATTTTCATATCCTTATAAATTAAGAAATACTAGAATGAAGTGACCAGATGTTCGGCTTCCTTTCTGGAATTTCAAATGTATGTGTATGTGCATGCATACACAGAAACCATTCCTCTGAAGAGCAGAGATTTCTCATCATAAAATGTGTGTCTTCTTATGCTGTCATCGGCCCTCATTTATTATCCATAGTGCTTACATTTCAACACCTTGCATTTTATGTCTTCTTTTATACAGGCTACACAGATTTCAGGAGACATTCTGAAAGAGAGAGAACTGTTTTTCTCCCACTAGATCTTAGAATGAGTGCCTAGAATGCTAAGTAAAATTTTGGCGAAACCATCCATGAAACCTCAAAGAAGTTTTAAGATAGATAATTTTCCCACATTTGTACTCTAGAAGTCAAAGGATTCTGCCAAGTAGATGAAAGTGAGAAATTGGTGGTAAAAACTCCGCTTTAAGTAGGTCAGTTCTTGTCTTTGCCTTTCATGACCTTCAGGTGTCAGTCCTCTAAAACTACTTTAGTCTACCTGATACCATAAACGTCAAGAAAAAGAGAACATTTCTCAGAAATGAAGCCACAGTGCAGTTTAAAAAGTTCTGATACTTGGTGGTGAAACACAACTGTGAGACACTTATGAGTCTGCATGACTATATTAGGAAATGTATGTAAGGACAATTTTAATAATAAGCTTACAACCATTTTTTTGGTTCAGAAATAGGCTTTTCTTAAAAATTAAAAAATAGCACATGCTATTAAGTAATAGTCATTGCAAACATCCCCCCAAAAGTATCTTATAATAGCCATTGCTGTTTTATTTCTAGCTCCATTCTGATCCACAACCAAACTTTTATTTGTCAAATTGTGTCAGTGAGCAAATGAAAAACAGACTGTTTCTTGGCTGAGACCATGAATTCTAGGCAATTAGCATAATAAAAATAAATTCACCTTACATTGATTTACACTCCACCATAATAAGCTACAGACTATTTTTCTTATATTGTTATTGTCTTTTAAAATGTATCTCTAGTAAGATGTAAAAGCACATTATTTTGTCTTTATTTATATATTTATAGGATGTTTAAACTTTCCAATCCATAAAGCTGCATTCCAGGAGTAGAAGTCCAGTTTAGACTGGCCTCCCTCTTAGGTTGATTGATTTGAGAATGAAGAAATATCTTCTGTAAAGAGTATCCCAAATCAGCTCCTGTTTCATGGCCAAAATTCACCTCTTACAATTTCTTACGATTTGCGTTAAGACAGCAGGTTTCTGGGCATACTCTGTTAAAATACAAATATTCTTGGAAGAGTTAACATATAAAACTGATAACACCTTAGAACAGATTAGGAAAGCAAATTATTCTTATGTGAAAGCTAGCTGAGAGTAATACCCTTAAGAGTTGGGATCTGAAAGAAAATTCTCATTTGCGGGTGTTGGTGAGGAATAGAAACCCCGGCACTCATGGAGCAATAAGGAAGGCTCGATGGGAACCAAGAAACTAAGATGAGAGTATGATTCTGGCAGTTTTGCTGAGGAAATAGCTGGATGAGTTTGTATTTCTTAGCTAGGGGCTCATCCAGCCACAGTTTCTTCCTGCTGTCTGACAGGATAGAATGTTGCTTTCTTCTGTTATCTGCCACCAAAGGTAAGGGAAAATAGGAAGAGATTAGTTCCTTAGGTATAAGCTGGGGTTAGGTCTTAGTTGTAAGCTAACCAGATGGCCACTGATAAGGTTTCATTGAAAGATATCTCAAAGGACCCTGACAAAATTAAAGCCTCTCCACTGTTGCGGATAGACATTTAATTTCCCATTACTCTTGTTCTAATGTGTAGGAACTTCAGCTTCTCTCTGTCCTCCGTGGGATAAAGGACCTAACTTGTGTTTGATGAATTAGAGTGAAAGAACTGAGCTCAAGGTATCTTGAATAGAAGAGAAGATGAGGAATGTACTGGGTCGGTGACAATAGGGTAAGATAAAATTTGCAAAGTGAGTAGAGGAAGGATTGAGGGAAACAACACCCAGAGGGAAGAACGTAAAAGGAGGAGGAAGAAAGAAAGAGATAGGATGAGGCAAGAAAAAAAAAAAGAGCCAGGGAAGATGGTAGAAGCATTCAGGACATTCCATTTATTTTGAATTTTGCTGACATCAAATCTTATGATGTTTTAAAAATTGGCTTTTTGTTGGCGTTTAATCAAGTAGCATGTACAAACTAAAGAAATCAAAGAGACTTAGAAAAACCAATTTGTGCAAGTCAGGGCCTCATTAGGAGACATAAATCACACTAGTTATTTGGACAGAATTTTATATAAAGAATTATTAACTGGTTATAAAGTTGTTCACTAAATAAATGAAAGAGTAACAAGGGAACAGTAAGTTATAGTAGAAACAACTGTAGAAAGAAGCTATCATACCTCGCGGTGAGGTAATAAAGGCAAGAGGCTGGAATTAACAGTATTCACCTCTTTATTCTCAAAGGATCAGTTCCAAGACCACCAGTGAATGCCTGAAACCATGGATAATATCAAATCCTATTGCCATCAACTGGAACACATTTCTGTTATGTCTTCCACCCAAAAATGCAATACCTTTCCCATCTTAACTAAGCATTTATCACACACTGTGGCCATCACTTTTGCAGTCTGAGGTGTGACAGAAAAACTAGCACAAATTTCTTTTTCCTTCTTCACAATTTTATGGATAGAAGATTAACTCCACTATAGATCTTAGCAACCTCAGTATATAACTTTTTTTTATTAAGTCTAGAAATTTCACTTTTTTCTTTAAAGAAAGTACTCTACGGCTTCCCTTTGGCATATATGAATTGTCAGCATCACTCCTCTTGCACTTTGAAGCCATTATTAACTAAAATAAGGGTCACTTGAACACAATACTATGATACCACCACAGTCCATCTGATGACGGAGAAGGCTCCTAAGTGACTGATGAGCGGCGAGTATAGAGAGCATGCATGTGCTGGACAAAGAGCTGATTCACCTGTTAAATTTCTAAACACTACTCAGAGTGGTGTGCAATTTAAAACTTCCAAATTGTTTATTTCTGAAATTTTCCATTTAATATTTTCATACTGCTGTTGACCAGAGGTAACTGAAGGTTTAGAAAGTGAAACCATGGATAAGGGAGAACTGCTGTGTTAAACGTATTAGATTGGAGTAGTGGCCCTGTGGAGATGAAATTCAAACTTCTGAGCAGGAACGCTTGGCTGGTGTTGGTGTCTCTGAGTGTCCGATAAGGCTGGTTCTATTAGTGTTAGATAATCTGCAGACTGCGTTCATGTGCTGCTATGGAAAGGCACTGTCAAGGTGAAGAAGTGTTACTAGGAAGATGCTCACAAGAACAGGGAACAGACAGGAAGTTCCTAAGACGGTGATGTGCACTAACAGGAATGGGAATATAAACAGGAAGTAATTGCCTCCCATCCTCCCTCTAGCATCCCCTATTGGCTGAGCCTAACAGAGAACCAGCTGCCCAGGCAGAAATGTGGTTGGCAGAGTCCCAGCCCCAGAGTCATAAAACAGAGTATAGAAGTGGGGCATTGGTGATAAGAGATAAGAGCTTAAGAACTGGCATGCAACCTTTACAAAGCATTATTTTTCCAATTGTCTTTTATTCCTTAATTTTGAGGAGATTTTTATCAAAATCAGAAAATAACAGAGACAAAACACCAAATATCCTTTACTACAGTTGTAACTTCTTTTAAATAAACCAGATTACTGAAAATCTAGATTTGTTTTTTAAAGTAAAAATTATTATTTCATTTGTAGAAAATTATTATGGGATTCTGCTCCAGTTAAATCTCCTTTTCTTTATTTTATGTATTTATTTATTTTTTATTTTTGTATTTATTTATTTATTTATTTTTGAGACAGAGTCTCACTCTGTTGCCCAGGCTGGAGTGCGGTGGCGCCATCTCGGCTCACTGCAAGCTCCGCCTCCCGGGTTCATGCCGGGAGCAGCTGGGACCACAGGCGCCCGCCACCACGCCTGGCTAATTTTTTGTATTTTTAGTAGAGACGGTGTTTCACCATGTTAGCCAGGATGGTCTCGATATCCTGACCTGGTGATCCTCCCGCCTCGGCCTCCCAAAGTGCTGGGATTACAGGCGTGAGCCACCGCGCCCGGCCCTTTTGTTTATTTATACTGTTCTTCTGCAAATATTTATTGAATATCTAATACGTGTCAGAAACTATTCTAGGTACTTGAAGTACATCAGAGAATAAAAGAGAAAATATCTTTGCATTCATAGAACTTGATTTTTACAGAAGATTTATATCTTTCAACATTCAGAAATAATCAATTGCAAATATTTTATGAAAAATAGATCTGGTGTACAATCAAAGATTACTTGTATTGACAATTATGGCAATAGACACATTTAGAGGTATGCTGAAATTCTGGAACCTTATTCAAGTATATCCATTTTTCCTGCTCACTCTCAGATGGATTTCCCCCAACTTATTTTTGCATCTCTGAAGAGAATTAAACAGGTATTAATATGATATAAGATTATACCAAGACTGCCTTTTAAATAACTTACACCTGAGAGCTACACCATAAAACCCATAGAAGTTTCCTCTTTTAGCATCTACTACCCCATAAGACGTAAGGATAATTTAGTGTGAGTAAGAGAAGGGAAATACAGGGAGGATTTTTGAATAATGTTTAACTAATATGCTTCCTTCAAATAAATGTAAATATATATATATATATATATATATATCTTTCTAGCACATAGTAATAGTTTACAAGCTCAAATTTGGTTTCTGCACCATATAAAAATTATCTGTGAAACTTTGTGCCAATTAAAAGAATTGTTCTGATTTATACATAGATCATGTAGTGTTTCTCAGAACCACCATGGTCACATTAAAATTATCCACCACATTTATTCTTTAAGATATTCAGAGAAATCTCAATAGAGAAGACTTGAGCTGTGATATCCCCTCATAAAAATACAAAATTCCTTTCTCATTGATCATAGAAGAACCTAAGGTACAGATATTACATTATATTTTTGACATTTTAAGAAGAAATATAATCTTCAAGGTCTTAGAAATGGTAGGTTCACTGTCATCAGCAATATTTAAACATAAACCTTTAACAGCAAATACCTCAGAGCTTTACATAGTAGCTGCTCCATTAAGGTTTGCAGATCACATTATTTTATTTATTTTTAATAATCAACAAGTAAATAAGTTCTTCTGTATCCCTATGTAATTTCTTCATTTAACTGCCCTCCTGCTCAAGACATCTTTGCTATTCCCAAAAGTTAACATCTCACCTTTCTAGGTCTCCCTGCACATAGGTCAGAATTGTTTTCTTAATTCTTCCTGTTGTTCTTGTGTTGCTAAGACAGAAGATCTGAAATGTTATCCTATGGTAAGAGATAAGGAGAAGGCCATCCAGTATCTTATATACCATTCTCTAGCTGTGTTTCCCAAGAAGGTGGAAGAGGGCTTTTCATTCTGAGCCATACAAATGAACATGTCTTCCAATCTTCTATGTGATTAGGTGAAATCTTAGTCTATAAATAAAGGCTCTTCATAACCCACCTCAAACTTACTGTTCAGATTACATCTCAACATCTCAGATATCTCCTGAATGGCCACCAAAAGCCACCAATGCCCAGCCTTCACCCATTTCCCTTCATTTGAGAGTGTCATCTCAATACTGGCTACTGATTAGAAAGTGTAGGTCAGAAAAGAGAATGTTAGAATTGGGTACATCTCCACCTAATTTGCAGTGCCACTGGAGTGGTGATGGTCACAGCTTTTCTTGTAGAAAATTCTATTTCAGGACCCTCAGTACTGACTGTGAACTTCACAAGTCCTGCCAAATCCTTTTCCTTTTGGCCATGAGTGACTTTGCTTCCTCCAGCTGCCAGCCATAGCCTATTAAATGCAAACAACTTTAAAATAACATTTCTCCCCACATAACACAAAAGAAAAGCCAGGTTTCAGAAAGAAGCATACCATCTTAAGTTTAGACTCTGCCTTTGAACCATTTTAGACTTTCCTAAGGTGAGAGCATTGGTCAGCTATTGTCTTTTCAAAGCATTCGCTCTAATGTTGGTTTATCAGCCATCCTAGGACTAGATGGGAAAATCTTTACTTTCTAATATGAATAAAAAAAGAAATACTTCCTGAAAATGGAATGTTATCAGAACTGATGTTTTGTTTTCTAGTCACAAGGGTAGACAGCCTATTCTAGGAGTAGCTGAAAAGTGGGAAACAAAAGAACTTGAAAGAAAAACAGATTTTGAGAAGTGTTTAGTAGGCAATAGTATTAAAAATAAAATCCCTTGGTAGCCTGTCATCTTGATGTTATGAAACCCAGTAGCATGTTTTTCTCCCTTTCAAATGAATTTTGTTTTTAATAAGTTTGGCTAAAAGTATAAATGCTTTTGGTGAGGTCAAGTTGAACTTGTGGTTTTTCTTAGCCATTGGGGTCTACACCTCAGAGAGTTTTTTGTTTTTACTGGAAGTTTAAATTTTGTTGACCAAACTGGCAGTTTCTTTGTAAGAGCACTTGAGTCCTTTAATGTTTTCTTTTTTGGTCTCTTTTGCTGTTTAAAGGAATGACTTAAGGATAAATTTGGTGCCTTGGATAGATAAATAAATCTGACAAAATTACAAATGACTCAGTTAACTGGAGCAGGAAGGGGAAAATAATAGTGAATTAATTTTAAAAAGAAAACACAACCCTCAGTAAAATGCATAAAACCCTAATAAAGGCAAAAGCCACTTCGAAAAAAAGTTTAATATTTTAAAGAAAGGAAATAATAAATTCTTCCAAGTGCTATAAAACAACCAACCAACCAAAAACTACTAAAAAATTATGTGATAACATCTTCACATCTGATGTATATATAATAGTTAACTTAGTACCTTATGAAATATTTTGTTTTATGTATATATTTTAGTATGTTTATATAATAATCAAATTGTACAATTGTGTCTTTTCATTAGAAACTCATTATGAACAAATTTTCAAACTTATTTGTGTGTTTAAAAGGAATGAGTCACAGTTAAAAGGAACTGTCACTTGACTATGAAAAATTAGTTGACTTTACAGATTCAGACTGGCTGAGAAAATCAGGCCTTGGCTGTGGGAAAGTATGAATGCTTGTCTAATGCACATAAAAATGGGTGCTCATAGAATAGATACATATTCTCAGGATGGGCATATCCATTGGCCAAGGGAAAGTGATGTAGGGCATATATTTTCTTGGCCTCCTTTTATGGCCCCTACTTTGAGTAGAAGAGAATCTTCTAAAAAAGTGGACAAAAATCTCCTACTTTTATTTAACTCATTATTTTACCTCAAGCTGACTCATTTTTTTTTCAACTATGATGAGGCTTGGGGTGGTCAGATTATTCAGCATTTATTGCAGGCTACACATAGTAACCACAGTAATATGTTCTAATTCAGCACTCTGATTAACAAGGAACCACCATAGATAGTATTCACATATTATCCATTTGTAAGTGCCCAGATAATATTTAAAAAAGAGTATTTCCTTAATGACTCAAAGTCATTTAAGTATTTTAAGTATGTTAGAATGCAGGGCAATTCTCACGGTTTTTAAAACATGTCTATATATATATGTGTGTGTGTGTGTATGGGTATATATATATATACATACATACACACATATATGCACATATATGAATATATACATTTACATATACAAAAGCAAAATCAAATTGACACAGTTTTCTGATCTTTAAATTAGGAATACTAATATTTACTTCATGAGGCCTTTTGGAGATAAATTAAGATAGATAAGAATTTAGAACAATACATGGAATAGGGTACATGTTCAGAAAATACTGATTCTTTGTCCCTCCCCGTCTTTTACTTTTTCAGAGAGGAAGTAAATTATAATACAAAAAGCCTAGACTTGCAGGAGAGGAGGGAGAGCAGGGACTTAATTATATCTTGTTTGAATTGCATCTTCAACACTGCAAGCTTTTAAACTTAGCCAAGTTAATAACTTCCTAAAGGTTTAGTTTCCTCCTATGTAAAATAAACCAATACTTATTTTAGAGGATATATGTGAGGATTATACAAGACAGCAGTGTAGGCACACAGTGCCTAAGACATAATAGGTGACCACTGCTCTTTTCTCATAGCTTTGTCTAAAAACAGGAACCATGAGATAAGTTAAAATTAGTATTACATGCATATACAAAAAAGTTGTCTGAAGCCATTCACAACTAGTCATTTAGCTGTTCCATTGATCATCCTAAAAAAATTTCAATATATAAAACTGGATTGGTTTTGGACTTTCTCTATATGGCTCTGGGATAAGAAAATAGGATGTAGTGTGAAGTTCAAAACCCTATATGGCAACTCAGTATCTGTGTTACAGTCTTGACATTTTTTATTATATTTCAAGTATTTTACAGGTTACCTTTAAGCTTTTAACATGCATGTAAAAGATAAAGTGTAAATTTAAGACGTTAACACACTAAAACACCCAATGCCATATTGTAGCTGACCCTCAGAATCTCCTTCAGAGAGGTGGATAAAATCAGGTTTAGAGCACCAAGAATTCATCAGACAGTGTGGTTGTGAACCTTCTAAGCTGGGTCCCAACGATCCACGCCTCCTGGTATTCCTGCCCCGCTATAATCTCCTCCTCTTAAATGTGTTGGCTAGAAACAGTGACTCACTTCTAACAATAAAATATGGCTCAAGTGATGGATTTACTTCTGAGATTAGGTTGTAAGTGATGGTTACTTCCATCTTGATAGCATTCTCTCTTTCTGGTTCTCCTTACTTGCTGTTCTGATGAAATGCATGTTGTGAGTCCATGCCCTGATGTCACCTTGAAAGTCAAAGGGCCCAGCCAAGTGTGCCTGGATTCCTGGCCCAGAGAAACTGCAATAATAAATGGGGTTGTTTTAAGACACTAAATTTAATAATATTTTGTTATACAGCAATAGATAACTAATATAGATGAGCAGGGGAAATGACTAAAATTTTGATGGACTTATATAGATTAAAATTGAAGAAGAGAAGTAATTATGTTTTGTTTTCAAGCATAAATCAAATATACATCATTTTTACTTCCATATAATTATTTAGAATATCATAGTTATTTTAGTGCCTTTGTCCAATTTTTTTGAGCCTTCACTTTAAAAATTCTTTGCTCCCAAAAGTCTTATATAATTTGGTAATTCCTAAATATCTCTTTAAATAGAATATGAGAAGCCAACAAAGCCAAGTCATGCACCGAAGAGCTTTCAAAACCCATAAGTTCCTGTACTATCAGCAATAGCAGCGATACAATTGAATCCAATAGCATAAATAGCCATCAAGATAGGCAGACACACTTTAATTAGAAAAAGTTCATCTTTTTATAGTTCAAAGATCTCCTAAAAGACAAACAAAAATACATCTCATGGAAGTATTTCAAAAACTATTTAAAACAATGGGTCATTTCCTATTTTCCCCAGTATTAGAGAGTTTTTCTAATTCACACTGCAAAAAATTAAAACCAATCAGATTGCTCAATCTTGTGTACTAAAACAAAATTGCCAAGCCCTTCTCTTTGCCTGGATTGGCAATGGTAGTACGTTCTGTTTCCAATGATCCATGCAACTACCGTCAAAACTTCCTGCCTTGCAAACCACAAAGTATGAGCAGAAGCCATCTTGCCTAGGAGAGCCTCAGAGTCAACATCTCAGAGAAGAGACTCATCACCCTACAGGCTCCCAGCTCTGCCTTGACCAGGCCCTGGCTCAGCCAGAGCAGCCCTGCCTTAGATTATCAGGCTTTGAAAGTGAATTTTTTTTAACATGTTTGGGCTTGCACTACATTTTGTGGCATTCACAATATATTTTAGCTAACTCTATCTATATCTATAGATTATATCTATATCTATATCTATATTATCTATATCTATGGGGAGATCTCTGTGTTATGCTCAGAATCTTTGTGGAGGGAAATAAACATCTTTTGGAGTTAATGTAAGGATGTTTGAAAATTAACTTTTTAGCCAGTTATATAGCTATAAGGAGAAAGAATACCTAAAAATTTTCACCATTATATCTTTAAGAACTACATGCCACCTAATGTTCTAGAAAGAGCTGGACTATTCCATAACCAAAATGAAGTCATGAGGAGTTGTTCCCCTCCAGCAAATATATTAACAGAGAAACTTCAAAGGAATATACCTACTAAGACACAGACCTCTACTGTATATTATGCCAAAGTTTCTGTCTGAAAAATGTAAAAGTCAGTCATTGATCTTTTTAGGTATTCTGTTGGCCAGAGCACTGCACTAATTGACAGCTAAATGCTGGATTTAATACATCTGAGGGTTCATAGATTCCCTCTGTTCTGTGGCCACAGACTGAATCCCTTAACTCCAACCAGATGTTTTATGAATGAGCAAGACCACAAATCTATCAGTGATATTGGAAAAACAATCCAAGTGTCTGATATACCAATGATAGTTCATAAATATCACCTTCAAATGCAAAAAGAAAACCTCTCCCCAGATCTATTGACTGGTTTGATTTTATTTTTTCATGGCACTGATTGGATTACAGATTTAGATGATTACTTATTTTTACTTCATGTTAATAAATATCCTTTCCCCAACAGCCCAGAAGTTCTAGCTCACATAGATTTAAAAAATACCATAGTTTTATATTAATTACATAGTGATGCATTCACCAGCATATGGCAAAATAGAATTCAGACTGGTAAAAGCCAAATTATTTTTCATCTACCTCTATAACATTTTATGGGTATTTTCATTTGTTCAATGTATTATATTGAGAATGTTAAAAATAGACATTAATTACATTTCCAGTTAGCCTTCAGTGTTACATAGAATGTGTTATGAAAGCAAATAAACATCTTTTGGGAGTTAATGTAAGGCTGTTTGAAAATTTTCTTCTTTTAGCCAAGAATAAACTACCATTTATTTAATTTCAACATGTTGAGCCAAATTTTGATTACTATAATGAAAGAATTAGATAAAACTAATGTAAATTTAAAAAACTTTAAAGTAGCTTTGTAATTTGTTTTAACATTTGAAATAATGAAAGGTACCTAATAATGTTATAATCCACAATATTTATAAAAAATCACAATGATTCATTATGAAGAAAAAACTCCTCAGTTTTTTTTTCTCAAAAAAACCTGATTGATATCAAATATCAAATTAAATGTTATTAATATTTTATTTTTATATCAAGAGGCTTACCAATGTTTACACCGTTCCATAAACATTAAACTTCTGAGGATTTATGCCAAGGAACACAGTAAAATTGAGAAGTAAACTCCTTTACCTGGATTTGTTCAATAGAAAATTATTAATAATAGAAAAAGTAAAATGATATTAATGTTCAACAGCTAGTCAATGATTAAATAAAGGAATGTTATGTAATTAATTTTTCCCAAAAATATTTATTTATTCCCTCTCATGTGCCAGGTATCATGCTTGTCTTCTGGATACAGTTATGAACATAGCAGGTAAAGTTCCTAACCTCATAAAACATACTTTATTTAAAATGATGTTAATGAATCATTGGTACCAAGGTAAAATATGTGTACAATGATTAGTAAAAAAATAGGATATAAAAAATTGTTTATATTATATGATCAAAGCTATGAACAAATTAGATACAGGAAAAACATCAAAGAATATAAATAAAAATGCTCTTGTAATTTTCTTTTCTGTGGCTGGATTTTGAGTGTCTTCTTTCCATCACTCTTCTGTTTTCCAAATGCTATCTAATGAATATACATTGCTTTTATATTTGGAAAATAACATAATCTTATGTCTAAACCAAAAATAGTAACTAAATATGAAGAAAAACTGTTCTATTTCACTTACCCTCATCTTCCTATTGAAATATTGATTAAATCCTGAAAAGGTTAAGAGTTTCATAGCACTGTAATCTTTGAGGAATGACCAGTTATCTACATCAGATTCCCACCGCATCCTGCCTGTGACTAATTGAAAGGTTCTGAGGCAGAACGAAGGGGTTTTCACCTACTCAGAATGGCCTCCATCTAGCTCAGAAACAGGGTTCTCCACAAGACAAGGGGAGATAAAGCATTCTTCCTACAATTTTCTACATCTCAATTTCCATCATTTAATTTTTATCTTTCCATATTGTCTTTTGAAGACAAAAGTTGGCATGTGATGGAGGATTTCATCCTGAGAGAAATTCAATCCTCTGAAAGGGCAAACACAGGAGATTGTAAGAGTGGAGCACTGTAAACTCTAGTTAGATAGTCCCGCAGCTCCACTGGACAGAGAAGCCTACAGGATGCATTAATGTACTCAGCAATTATTATCCTGAGCATCTTGTCACGAATCTCCACAGCCCAGGAGAGCCATGCCAGATAAATAAGGCCTGAGCACTGCACACTAAGCTCAGGATGTGCACAGCAAACACCTCCTTAAACTTCAAATCAGAGAGAGGCCAATACCAACCAGGAGGGCTGCAAAGCACACCAATGAGAGACATTTTCTTCCTATTCAAGGAGGACGAATCAGCAAAAGAACAACAAAAATGGCTATTACTATACACACACACACACACACACATACACACAAATGAAAGGAATTTGAAACATAAAATAAGGCAGAAGATAGTGACTAAATCAGAAGAGAAGTGTGTTAGGCAAAGGTTAGCTACTGAAAAAAAGCGCTAAGTTTTAGAAAGTAACTTTTTTCATGTTCCTGATGACATTCAAGAAGACATGATCTCTTTAAAGTAAGAGATGAAACATCTGATCAAATGACAATAATTTAAAAAGGAGTCTAAATTTACTTTTCTGTCTTTCCATGGGCTTTTGTAGCTTTCATCATTTAGGCTTTGCACGGCTTTTTTCAATTTACCCCTATATATTTTAGGCTTTATAGGTTTCATGGTTATTTTAAACTGATTTTTCCCCCATTACTTTGTTCTAGTTAATTATTTAAGAAGTAAGGAAAATCCCAGTTGTGGAACAGTGATCACATTACTGAACCCACTTTTTATAATACTGTTCAGTTGACTCTTGAATGTTCCAATTGATGTTCACTTTATCTGTGACAAAAATTGGGATCTTACATACCTAATTATTTTTTCCCATCTCACTGAATTGCCTAAGATATCAATACAATGTTAACGATTAAATAAATAGAAGGACCTCATTAGCTTCATTTCATCATTTGTAATATTGTTGTTTTAATAATAATAGCATCTGCCACAGAGTGACATTGCAAAGAGTCAATCAGATAACATGTGAGAAAATTATTAGAACAGTAAATACCTGCCCATGGTTTGCCCTCTGTGGCAGTGATTATCACCTTTGCTATTATTTTTGTTTTCAGGTAACTAGAATCCTTTTAATTTTCACCCTATTGGTGAAATCTTCCTAATAGATATTCTTATCAAGGCAAAGGAGTTTTCCTCTAATCTTAGATTGAGCTCAGGAATACTTCATTCAGAGTCTTTCAAGTTGATCCTGTGGTTTTTCTTCTGTAACTAGTTAAAGTCGCCAACTACATTTTAGAGTTCCTAAACTTAAACCAGCCCTACTTGGAATCCTACTTCATTGTTATGTATACAATGTTGGATTTAAGTTGTTCAGTTTTATTCTTTCAGAACCTTTCACTGTCTTCAGAAGTGAGATAGATCTATTTGTTTCTATATTCCTAATCTTAGTATCATAATAGTTTTGTCTTATAAAATGAGTGGAGAAGTTTCCGATCTGTATTCAAGGGCTATAGAGTGTACATGATAGGAAAGACGTTGGTAAGTCTCTTTTATATACTATCCAGGTCTGATGTTTATTCAAGGACAGAACTCTGACTAGCTTTTTAATTTATTTTATGATTGCTGATCTAATCTAGACTTCTGTGTCTTTTGGAGGCTCTTGGCAATTTATATTTCTTGAGAAATAAATTTTCTTTTAAAATCTAGTCTATATCCATAATTCTGCAGTATTTCTTTATAATAATGTTATTTTTAAAGTCTATTTTTCTTAGTCAAACTTGCCAAAAATTGGTGTATTTTATTTGTTCAAAGAAACAGTTTTTAGTCTTATTAATCAAGTGTTCTGTTTTTAAGTCTGGTGGTTTGTGTTCTAGTTCATGGATTTCTGCTTTTATGTTTATTAACTTTCTCTTATTTTCATTTTGTTTACTTTCTTATTCTTTTTCCAGCTCATTGAGTTGAATAATCCATTCAGTTATCATCTTTCCTTATAAAAAATTTAAGGTCATAATTTTCTTCTCTCGCAATAATTTTGTCCAAATCATAGAGATTTTATTTGTAATGCTATCATGCTTCATTTCGAAATAATTTATTTGAATTTTTATTTTCCTTTTAACCCAAGAATTATTTATTGAGTGTTTTAAAATGATTAAGTCAATTGATATTTTTATTTTTGTTTGATCCTATCTCCTAATATTACACTGTGGTCAGAAATCACACACAATATGACTTCTGCTTTGAAGAATTTATTTAACATGTCTTTGTGGGCTAGCATAATGGTTAAGAGTACAGACTTATGCTTAGAATAGTACCTGGTACACAGTAATTGCCATGTACTCAAGGACAATTTTTATGTATTTTTGTATACACATTTGAAAAATGTGTGCACATAGTTTATGCATGTTTATTTTATTTATTGTGTTAGTTAAATTCTAAATCCTTATTTATATACTATTTGTGAAATTGACCTTTTGAATACTCAGATAACCATCTTGAAGTCTTTTACTCTTTGAAATCCTAACATTTTTCTATGTATTGGATGCTACATTATTTCCAACATAAAAATTCATTATTTTACCTCCTAGCTCCTTGGTAGGTTGCATCATGTACAGTTTATTTCATATCCACTTTCTTTTCATTAGCATTCTTCTGTTTATTTTTAAACTTTCTATGTCATTTAAATTTTTTTTATTTTTAAGTGAACTTTGTTATGAAATATAACGGCATTTTCTTTTGGGTAATTCTCTTCTAAATTGTGTGTGTGTGTGTGTGTGTGTGTGTGTGTGTGAAATATAACGGTATTTTCTTTTAGGTAATTCTCTTCAAAATTGTGTGTGTGTGTGTGTGTATTCTTTTTTAACCCATACTAAATATGTACTAAAAGTTGAATTTGATCCATTTATACGTACTGTGTTCACTGATATGTTCAATTTATTCTTGACATATTACTTTTTAAATTTTTTATGCCTTATTGCTATTGCTCTTTTTGTGCTTTAATACTAGTTTTTAAAATCTAATTCAGTACAATTTATTGAATCTTTATTTATTGTTTTAGTAGCTTGAATATTTTCTGTCAGCATTCATATGTCTCTCTTCCCACCCTTTGTAAAAGAACTTTGCTTTCATTTAAGTATTCATTCTCTGCTACACACACACATGCTTCAAGGCAGGCAGGTCCCAAGGGAATTATTTGTTATTGGTTCAAGTCAAGTCTCACTCCTTTAAACTGTGATCGGTTTAATCTTGGTCATGTGATGCTATTTCTGTCTTATGAAGCTAAATCTACTTGGGGGTTATTGGGAAATATCTTTATGGCTTAAAACACACATGCAAGTGCACGCGCGTGCACACACACACACACACACGAAGACACAGACTCTCCTTTTCCACTAAGTGTTGTTCTAACCAGATATCATAATCCAGAAAAGTTGATGCCATCTTCCAACTATCTTCTAATCTGAGGACAAGCCCCCTTCTGAAGATGGCAGAAAGGGAAAGAGAAAGAATCTCAGTCCTTTAGGTTATGTTTAAGTCCCCAAATGAACCAAACCATTATTTGACATGAGAATATCACAAAATAATTATTTCAGATTGCTGTGGAGTTCTATCTTGGTCAGGCATAAAACTCTGGTTTTATAAACATCTTCCCTCACAGTTATGAAGACATTCTCTATTGTCTTTTAGCATCCCATTGAATTATTTTTCTTTTCTTCTTATTTCTTATAAATTCTTTTTCCCTCTGAAAAAAAAATTGCATGCTTTTCTCTTTAAGAAAATTTGCTTAGAATGCTTCTCTCTTTCTTTTTTTTTTTTTTTTTTTGAGACAGGGTCTCATTCTGTCACCCAGGTTGGAGTGCAGTTGGCATGATCATGGCTCACTGCAGACTTGAACTCCAAGTCTCAAGCGATCCTCCCACCTCAAGATCCTGAATAGCTGGTGCTACAGGCATATGCCACCACACCTATTTTTTTAAAATAATTTTTTGCAGAGACAGGGTCTCATTATGTTGCTCAGGCTGATCTCAAACTCCTGGGCTCAAGAGATCCTCTCACCTCAGCCTCCCAAAGTGCTGGGATTACAGGGGTGAGTCACTGTACCCAGCCAAATTATTTCTTGATTAGGGTTTTCTTATTTTGCATTGTTTGCCTTTTAGCTTTTGTTGTTTTAGTTTTTATTTTAATCTGTTTTAAATTCTTATAACAAAAATGTCTTTATTCTGCTCAGAAAAGATTTCTTCTATCATTTACTTGGTCATTCCTTTTTTTTCTAATCTCTTGGGTTTCCCCTGTTAAAAAGCTGTTGGAACCACTGACTACTTCCTCTTTCTTACCATTGACTAAATACTTCTCATTTGGCACTTTGTCCTATAATATTTCTACTCAGTCTTGCAGTTCTCAGTCTTTAGCCATATCCATTTTGACAGTCAGCCCACAAGTAGAATTTTCAAGCAAACATACTTCAGATTTCTAAGAATTCTGCTTCTTTTTCATGGCAGTCTTCCTTTTGTAATGGGTACAAAAGTCTGTTAACTCCCTAGCTAACATTAACCACAATTATTTCAAAGTTGATTTGATTCCCTCTATTATCTGTAGTTATTGAGAGTTTGTTCTACTATTTGTTGAGTTAGATGTGCTTCAGATGCACATTTCTTCAATCGTTACGCTTTCTTTATTGTCTGTTCATGTTTGTAGATGTGAAATCACATCAATAGTTGTAGTAGATATAGTTTATTTATTCAGTCCAGTGGGAATTCCTGTTTGCCTAAAAATAAACGTAGGATCTTATTACCATTGTCCACCTCCAGGAACAATACAAGTTAGAGGATAATGTTTTGGTAGTAAATTGTTTAAAGAATTCAGTTCTTGATATTCATAAGCTAGTCAGACGTTTTCCCACTTCTCTGGATCAACTTTAAGGGTATCTTTTATCAGAAATTCCATTTTAGAGACATGTATTAAAGATAGATACTGAAGCTCTAGAAAACTAGAAGATATTCAATCCACAGCTCAGAAAGGAAGGATTTCATAGACAATAAAAAGCATATGGAAAGAGTTTTGACCAGTAAAGAAAGCCCCTATTTATCTTAAGCTAATCCTTGGGTTCTTTTGAAAACTAAATTACTTCTGTCAGATTTTAAGGTGGTGACTTCCACAGCTCTGTGGACACCTTCATGACTTTCCGGTGCTGCAGTGTATTGTTTTCTTTCTGTTGTTGTTGTCGTTTATGGGACTTGGGGAAGAAGAGGTAGGCCATCATGTTGAGTTATCTATTTTGAACAGGGCTGGAATAAATCAGCATTAATCTGAAAAGGTGAATAAACTCAACATACAGTGAGCAATGTTAACAAAAAACATAGGTATATCTTGCTGTATTTTAAAATTTCAAGCATAAAGTAAAAAATCTTGCAGATAAAATAAGCAAACACAGAGTGACCAAATCAGATTGATCTCAGACTTCTCTAGCCAACAAGTTTCAAGAAAAAGAAGAAAAGAAGTTCAGTCTTCTCAGCTGTTTCAGCCTGAGGGCCTGGGAGAGCCCAAACTCATCCGGGGCTGAAGGGATCTCCAACACAGCATAGTTGCGCTACCAAAAAGTAGCCAAACTGCTTCTTTAAGCAGGTCTCTGATCCTGTCCCTTCTGACTGGATAAGACCTTCCAACCAGGGTCTCTAGCCACCTCCTGCAGGTGTGTTCAGGCTGGCAATAGGTCAGTACGCCCCTGGGATGCAGTTCCTGGAGGAAGGGGCAGCCTGCCATCTTTGCTGTTTCACAGCCTTCACTGGTGATACCTCCAGGTAGGAAAAAAACTGAGGCAACTGGGGTCTGGAGTGAACACCTAGCAAACCTCAGCAGCCCTAAAGAAGAGTGGCCAGACTGTTGAAAGAAAAACAAATAAAAACAACAACAACAACAACAAAATACAAAAACCCCATCCAAAGATCAGCAACCTAGAAGATTGAAGGTAGATAAGCTCACAAAGATGAGAAAGAATCAATGCAAAAATGCTGAAAACTAAAAAAATCAGAGTGGCCCTTTTCTACCAAATAATCACAATAACTCTCCAGCAAGGGCTTAGAACTGGGCTGAGGCTGAGGTGGCTGAAATGAAAGAAATAGTTTCAGAAGGTGGGTAATAACAAACTTCACTGAGCTAAAGGAGCATGTTGTAACCCAATGCCAAGAAGCTAAGAATCATGATAAAACAATACAGGAGCTGACAGCCAAAACAGCCAGTTTAGAGAGGAATATAACTGACCTGTTGAAGCTGAAAAACACACTACAAGAACTTCACAATTCAATCACAAGTATCAATAGCAAAATAGACCAAGGGGAGAAAAGAATCTCAGAGCATGAAGACTATCTTTCTGAAATAAGACAGGCAGACAAGAATAGAGAGAAAAAGAATGAACAAAACCTCCAAGAAATATGGCAGTATGTAAAGAGACTGAATCTATGACTGATTGGGGTACCTGAAAGAGACAGGGAGAATGGAACCAAGTTTGAAAACATACTTCAGGATATCATGCAGGAGAACTTTCCCAGCCTACCCAGACAGGCCAACATTCAAATTCAGGAAATGCAGAGAACCCCAGTAAGATATTCCATGAGAAGATCATCCCCAAGGCACAAAATCATCAGATTCTCCAAGGTTGAAATGAAAGAAAAAAATGTTAAGGACAGCCAGAGAGAAAGGCCTGGTCACCCACAAAGAGAAGCCCATTAGACTAATAGTGGACCTCTCAGCAGACACCCTACAAGCTAGTAGAAATTGGGAGCCAATATTCAACATTCTTAAAGAAAAGAATTTCCAAACCAGAATTTCCTATCTAGCCAAGCTAAGCTTCATAACTGAAGGAGAAATAAGATCATTTTCAGACAAGCAAACGCTGAGGGAATTTGTTATCACCAGACCTCCCTTGCAAGAGCCCCTGAAGGAAGCACTAAATATGGAAAGGAAAAACCATTATCAGCCTCTAAAAAAACACACTGAAGTACACAGACTAGTGACACTATGAAGTAATCACATAAACAAGTCTGCAAAATAAACAGCTAGCATCATGGTGACAGGATCAAATCCACACATAACGATGCTAACCTGAAATGTAAATGGGCTATATGACCCAATGAAAAGACACAGAATGGCAAGCTGGATAAAAAAACCAAGACCTATCAGTATGCTACCTTCAAGAGACTCATCTCACATGCAAAGACACACATGGGCTCAAAATAAAAATATGGAGCAAAATTTACCAAGAAAATGGAAAAGAGAAAAAAGCAGAGGTTGCAGTCCTACTTTCTGACAAAATAGACCTTAAATAACAAGGATTTTAAAAAGACAGAAGGGCTGGCATGATGGCTCACACCTATAATCCCAATTCTTTGGGAGGCCCAGGTGGGCGGATCACTTAAGGCCAAGAGTTTGAGACCAGCTTGGTCAACATGGCAAAACCCCATCTGTACTAAAAATGCAAAAATTAGCCAGGCTTGGTAGTGCGTGCCTGTAATCCCAGCTACTCAGGAGGCTGAGGCATGAGAATCTGAGGCATGAGGCTCAAACCCAGGAGGCAGAGGTTGCAGTGAGTCGAGATTGTGCCACTGCACTCCAGCCTGGGTGACAGAGCAAGACTCCATCTCAAAAAAAAAAAAAAAAAAAAAAAAGGAAGAGAGAAAAAGAAAAAGAAAGAAAGAAAATTTAAGAAGACAGAGAAGGGCATTACATAAGGGTAAAGGGTTCAATTCAACAAGAAGAGCTAACTATCCTAAATATGTATGTGCCCAATACAGGAGCACCCAGATTCATAAAGCAAGTTCTTAGAGACATTCAAAGAGACTTAAACTCCCACATAATAATAGTAGGAGACTTTAACACCCCACTGACAATATTACATAGATCATTGAGACAGAAAATTAACAAAGATATTCAAGACCTGCACTCTGCTCTGGACAAAGTGGACCTGATAGATATCTACAGAACTCTCCACCTAAAAGCAACAGAATATACATTCTTCTCATCGCCACATAGCACTTATTCTAAAACTGATCACATAATTAGAGGTAAAACACTCTTCAGCAAATGCAAATGCAAAAAGTCATAACAGCCTCTCAGACCAAAGTGCAATCAAATTAGAAATCAAGAATAAGAAATTCACTCAAAACCACACAGCTACATGGAAACTGAATAACCTGCTCCTGAATGACCCTTGGGTAAATAATGAAATTAAGGCAGAAATCAAGAAGTTCTTTGAAACTAATGAGAACAAAGATACAACGTAGCAGAATCTCTGGGACCTGGCTAAAGCAGTGTTAAGAGGGAAATTTATAGTGCTAAAATGCTCACATCAAATAGAAAGACCTCAAGTTAACAACTTCAAATCACAACTAAGAAGCTAGAGAACCAAGAGCAAACAAACCCCAAAGCTAGCAGAAGACTTAAATTGTTCTGTATTTTTAAATTGCCAAGAAAAACAACTTTGTAAATTTGAAGATATTTTCCAACAGCTTTTCGTCTTCAGTGTCTTAATGTGGAAGTTAACCCTTACCAAAAAAGGAAGTTGGCAAAAACAGCCTTCTAGCACACTTTTTTAAATGAATGATGGTAGCCTAAACTTAATATTTTTATAAAGTATTGTAATATTGTTTTGTGGATAATTGAAATAAAAAATTCTCATTGAATGCAAAAAAAAAAAAGAAAAAAGAAATAACCAAGATCAGAGCTGAGCTGAAAGAGATAGAGACACACAAAAAGACCCTCAAAAAATCAACAAATTCAGGAGCTGGTTTTTTGGAAAAATCAGTAAAATAGATAGACTACGGGCTAGGCTAATAAAGAAGAAAAAAGAGAAGACTTAAGTAAACACAATCAGAAATGATAAGGGGGATATTACCACTGACCACACAGAAATACAAACAACCACCAGAGAATACTATAAACACCTCTATACACATAAACTAGAAAGTCTAGAAGAAATAGATAAATTCCTGGACGCATACACCCTCCCAAGACTGAAAAAGGAAGAAACTGAATCCCTGAATAGACCAATAATGGGTTCTAAAATTAAGTCAGTAATAAATAGCCCGCGAACCAAAAAAAGGCCAGGACCAGACAGATTCGCAGCTAAATTCTACTAGAGGTACAAGGAAGAGTTGGTACCATTTCTACTAAAACAATAACGAAAAATTGAAAAGGAGGGACTCTTCCTTAACTAATTCTATGAGGCCAGCATCATCCTCATACTGAAACCTGGCAGAGATATGACCAAAAAAAAGAAAAAAAAGGAAAACTTCAGGCCAATATCCTTGATGAACAATGATGCAAAAATCCTCAACACAACACTGGCAAACCAAATTCAACAGCACATCAAAAAGCTTATCCACCAAATCAAGTAGACTTCATTCCTGGGATGCAAGGTTGGTTCAACGTACACAAATCAATAAATGTGATTCACCACATAAACATATCTAAAGACAAAAACCACATGATTATCTCAATAGATGCAGAAAAGGCCTTTGATAAAATTCAACACCCCCTCATGTTAAAAACTCTCAATAAACTAGGTATTAAAGGAACATACTGCAAAATAATGAGAGCTATATTTGACAAACCCATTGCCAAAATTATACTGAATGGGCAGAAGCATTCCCCTTGAAAATCAGCACATGACAAGGATGCCCTCTCTCATCACTCCTATTCAACATAGTATTGGAAGTTCTGGCCAGGGCAATCAGGCAAGAAAGAAATAACGTGTACTCAAACAGGAATAGAGGAAATCAAACTATCTTTGCTTGGACATTACATGATCCTATATCTAGAAAACCTCATCATCTCAGCCCAAAAGCTTCTTGAGCTGATAAGCAACTTCAGCAAAGTCTCAGGATACAAAATCAATGTGCAAAAATTGCTAGCATTCCTATACATATATAGGCAAGCTGAGAGCTAAATCATGAATGAACTCAATTTACAATTGCCACAAAAAGAATTAAAATAAACTAGAAATACAGCTAACAAGGGAAGTGAAGGACCTCTTCAAGAATAACTAAAAACCAATCCTCAAAGAAATCAGAAAGGATACAAACAAATGGAAAAACATTCCATGCTTCTGTATAGGAAGAATCAATATCATAAAAATGGTCATACTCTCCGAAGCAATTTATAGATTCAATGCTATTATCATTAAACTACCATTGACATTCTTCACAGAATTAGAAAAAAACTATTTTAAAATTCATATGGAACCAAAAAGGAACCTGAATAGCCAAGACAATCCTAAGCAGAAAGAACAAAGCTGGAGGCATCAAGCTACCAGACTTTGAACTATACTACAAGGCTACAGTAACCAAAATAGCATAGTACTGACACAAGAACAAACACATAGACCAATGGAACAGGATAGAAAACCTAAAATAAGACTGCACATCTATAACCATCTGATCTTCAACAAACCTGACAAAAACAAGCAATGGGGAAAGGATTCCCTATTTAATAAATGGTGCTGGGAGAACTGGCTAGCCATATGCAGAAAATTGAAACTGGACACCTGCCTTACACCATATATAAAAATCAACTCAAGATGGATTAAAGATTTAAATGTAAAACCCAAAACCATAAAAACCCCAGAAGAAAATCTAGGCAATACCTTTCAGGACATAGGCACAGGCAAAGATTCCATAATAAAGATGCCAAAAGCAATTGCAACAAAAGCAAAAATTGACAAATGAGATCTAATTAAACTAAAGAGCTTCTGCACAGCAAAAGAAACTATCATCAGAGTGAACAGAACACATACAGAATGGGGAAAATTTTTGTAATCTAACCATATGACAAAGATCTAATATCCAGCATCTATACGGAACTTAAACAAATTTACAAGAAAAAAAATCCCATTAAAAAGTGGGCAAAGTCCCAGCTACTCAGGAGGCTGAGGCAGGAGAATGGCATGAACCCAGGAGGTGGAGCTTGCAGTGAGCTGAGATTGCGCCACTGCACTCCAGCCTGGGGGACAGAGTGAGACTCCATCTCAAAAAAAAAAAAAAAAAAAAGAGTGGGCAAAGGACATGAACAGACATTTCTCATAAGAAGACATACACGTGGCCAACAAACATATGAAAAAAAGCTCAACATCACTGATCATTAGAGAAATACAAATCAAAATCACAATGAGATACCATCTCACACCAGTCAGAATGGCTGTTATTTAAAAGTCAAAAACAGCAGAAGAAATGCTTTTACACTATTGGTGGCAGTATAAATTAGTTCAACCATTGTAGAAGAGAGTGTGGCAATTCCTCAAAGACCTAGAGGCAGAAATACCATTTGACCCAGCAATCCCATTACTGGGTATATACCCAAAGGAATATAAAGCATTCTGTTATAAAGATACATGCATGCACATGTTCATTGCAGTACTATTCACAATAGCAAAGACATAAAATCAGCCTAAATGCTGATCAATGATAGACTGAATGAAGAAAATGTGGTACATATATACCATGGAATACTATGCAGCCATAAAATACATTAAGATGATGTGTTTTGCAGGGACATGGATGGAGCTGGAGGCCATTATCCTCAGCAAACTAATGCAGGAACAGAAAACCAAATACTGCATGTCCTCACAAGTGAGAGATAAATGATGAAAACACATGGACACATGGTGGATGGGGTCGACACACACTGAGGCTTGTTGGAGGGTGACACGGGGAGGAAGAGAGCATCAGGAAGAGTAGCTTAGGGATGTTGGTCTTAATACCTCGGTGATGGAATGACCTGTGCAACAAGAGACCATGGCACACATTTACCAGTGTAATAAACCTGAACATCCTGCACACATATCCCTGAAGTTAAAATAAAAGTTGGAAATCAAAAAAGAAAGAAAAAAGAAAGAAAGGAAAGGAAAGGAGAAAGGAAGAAAAGAGAGAAGAAGGAAGGAAGGAAGGAAGGGAAAGAAAGAGAGAGAGAGAGAAAGAAAAAGAAAGAGAAAGAAAGAAAGAAAAGAAAGAAAGAAAGAAAGAAAGAAAGAAAGAAAGAAAGAAAGAAAGAAAGAAAGAAAGAAAAAAAGAAAGAAAGAAAGAAAGAAAAAACAAAACAGCATGAAGCCTACAGATCTTAGGATATAGTTTCATGATGCATGCCTAAATTTAATAGAGAGACATTGAATGTCCACGTATGAGTGTGCAAATAAAGCACACCATAAAATTTCTAAATAAGCTATTTGAAAAAGTGTATTTTGGCCGGGCGCAGTGTGGCTCACGCCCGTAATCTCAGCAGTTTGGGAGGCCGAGGCGGGTGCATCACGAGGTCAGGAGATCGAGACCATCCTGGCTAACATGGTGAAACCCCGTCTCTACCAAAAATACAAAAAAATTAGCTGGGCGTGGTGGTGGGCACCTGTAGTCCCAGCTACGTGGGAGACTGAGGCAGGAGAATGGCGTGAACCCAGGAGGCGGAGCTTGCAGTGAGCCGAGATGGCGCCACTGCACTCCAGCCTGGGTGACAGAGCAAGACTCCGTCTCAAAAAAAAAAAAAAAAAGAAAAAGTGTATTTTAACAATGATGTATCAAAATGACTAACTCACAAATGATGAAAATGTATTATGTGTGAAGAGATTGTCAATGATCATTGAAATCTGTTCTATAGACAGTTTTAGAGGAAAGCAACAAAAATGGTTGATGAGGGATAAAATTAATAATAACCATCTGACCTAAAATTTATAGATTATCAAAAGAAAACCCAGAAATGGGTGGGTGGATGGGGTGGACTATCATATTAGGGCAGAAGTTATTTTACACTGATGATTAGATGTTTAAATGTTTGAATGTGTATATGTGTATTTTAAAAGAAAAACCTAGTAGAATTAAAATGGATATTACAAATGATGACAAAATAATAAAATAGCAAAGTTTTTCTAATATAGAGGTTGTAGATTTGAGTAACCATCAAAAATCATGTTCTAGGATACAAAGTTGATATCTACTAATTGTATCTGAGCTGCTACTATTGAGCTCAGCTTCTTTTGCAATCTTACTCATCTTCGTGCAACCTGGTACATCAGGCACAAGCACTTGATCATTTTAATTTTACTCTTCTTTCACAACTTTTGTTGTAACTTATTTCATATTTAAGTGCCTAATTCTAATTGAGAGTATCCAGTAACTATGTATGGACTTTAACTAAACTTATTTTGTCTGGTTTTCACTAACCTGAATTGGGTATACAGTTCACATAGTCTGCAACAGATAAAAATAAAATAATCTCTTTATGCATATATCCATTATATGCATCACTTAAATAACACTGGATTCATGGGTTTTCACAGAAATTTTAAGGCTCAAATAATCCTGACTTGGCTGGGGGAAAACAAGCTAAGCTGGCTTCTTTGTCTTTTCAAACATTTTAAAAATGACTTTTACTTTGTGACAATATTAAGATACCACAAAGTTCTTCTAACACAAAACACAGTCAGCTCTCCCTCTAGAGCCTTGGTTCTTTTAATTAAAAAAAAACAGAATTAAAAATACAAAATGTGGCACTAGATGTGCATGGTAGATTTTATATATGAGGCCAGTAGTGGGTGATATTGCTATGTAAACACATAAGTAACAGTGCTAGGAAGGATAAGGCCCTATAACTTCCCATTGGTGTTCTCAACTTAATTCCAAATTTGTGATTCTTAAAATTTGTTATAATACAAAATCTGTTCATTTATTGATTCTCAGCTACAAATGCATCACTTACTGTCTGCTCTGAGAAAATGGGACTGGGTCCTTTAGCTATTTTTCCTTTGCCATCTGGCATAATGCTAATATTGTTGGTAGATGGCACTGGAGAAACATTATAGGAGCAAGGACTTTTCTTTCCTGGTTCTGGTGTACTTGCTCAGTCCAGCTTTTGCAGCCTGGGCAGCCTATTCAGCATCTAATTATTGTAGTGTACAGTGGTCAGAAATCAGTAGCCAACCACTTCCCTTGGTGTCCTACTTGGGTGGTTTTGTAGTCACGTGCCTGCAGCAAGACACCATCCCTTGAACATCTTCCCCAGCAACTTAAAGGGCGAATTTCCAGCAAGTTCCACTGGTGTAGCACCAAAGTTACCTCTCTACCATTCAGTGATCCATGATTATGCCTCTCCAACAATGTCTGAATCTCAGCCCTGAGTAGGGCAAGGAGACTGTGTGCGGGGAACTGTACATTGGGTGTTCTGTCATTGAGCTAGTGATTGTTCCTTAAATCTGCTTATTTTTAATTCTTTAGAATCCTCCTTAAGTCTTATTAACTAATCGTGTTACTCTAATTCTGTGTGCTAATTAACAATTCTTTATATTAAACTTTGCTCAGTTTTCTGTGTGGTTTCTGTGTATTGATCAGATCCTGACTAATACAAAATATATTCTGTATATTCCCCATCTTTTCTGAACTGTCGATTTATCTTCTTTCTGTTAAAAACAGCATCATTCTAATAACTAATAAACTATGCTATTATTATTCCTGATTAATTACATCTATTTAGAACTTAGATCCCATACACTGCCTTCAATTCCACTCTCCCTTTCACTTACAAGCTATTAAATACATCACATTAACTACTGTCATTTATTAACAATGAAAATTTGTAACCGCTTTTCTATATAATCCTTCACTAAATTTTAAATCCAAATAACTAAAGACTAATTAGAAATTTATAATAAAAACATAAAATACCACATATTAAATTTTAATAGTTAATTTTCATTTATGAGAGTACATTTATTTATAAGGCTTTTAAGGTAAATATATACTACCTCAAATATCTTTCATGTTTAATCTACAAAGAGTAAAATAAAAAATAAACTTTTATCATTCACAAGTCAGCTCTTTATTATTATTAGAAAGAATAAATCTTATAAATTCAGGAAGAATAGGTTGGTAATGATGACAGATTTAATAATACTGGAAACAGAAAAGTGACATTGACAGAGCTACAAGTTGGTTCTTGGGAAGAAAAGACATAAGAGATAAAGAACAAAAAGAAGTAATGTAACTATACAATGAAGAATGGTAGGAATGAAGAAAGAAACAAAGGAAGAAGAAAGAGTGTAAGAAAATGGAGTGATAAATACAGAGACTGTTTTACACAAAAATAAAATTTAGCATTTATCCCTTAATAAAACTCTTAGAAATCAGAATTGAAGCATATTTCCTTAACATGATTAAGAATAAAAGTCAAATATCTATTTGAATATAAAATAATGAAGGAATCACCATAGAGTCACAAACATTGTGAGTTTAAAAAAGGAAAGCTTACAAAGGATAAAACAGTATTATCTCCTTAGAACATATCATATTTTTAAATATAAAAGTTCATAATAATTTAGATTGTGATTTGATAACATAATTACATAATTATATTATTAATCTAAAATATTATAATTCTGTAGAAGATTCTGTATATTCTTCTGAATGGATTGTGTCTATAGTTGAAAACCCAAATGCTCCAGGTATAAAACCTTTAAGACACCTCCTTAATCAAAATAGTTTCTTGATCAAATTGAAAGCATAAGGGACAGTAGAAAAGAAATATTTTCATTTAGACTACTTTTACAAACACAAAACCTGTAAATAAATGGAGTGGCAGAGACTTCTGGTGGTCCCTCCATCCCATTTTCTTCTTGTCCTCAGTCATGGAACTCACAGCTTAATACATGGCTGCACAACTCCTTGCAGCTAGTTGTGGTCATGTGACTACATTCTGGCCAATGGGATACAAGTAGAAGAGGTAGGCATGTCTTTCTGGAAGTGTCCACAAGGAGTGGGATCTCATTTTCTACTGCCTTTGTTCCTCCTTCTTGCTGTTTGGAAAGTAGATGGGCTGGATGGATGGGGATCAGCCTTCTTGAGCCACAAGGTAGAAGCTGAGTGTTAAGAGTGGCAGAACACAAGACAGAACTAGCCTGAATCCCCAATAATTCTGAAACCTACACATCAACTCTAGACTGCCTACATTTACATGAGGGAGAAGCATACTTCTACCTTTTCAAATCCACTGTCATTTTAGGTCTTCTTTCACTCATGACCAAATCTAACCTTGGCTAATAAAAATGGTGAGTATCCCAGCCTAATGTCTCCATTCTTCTGTCGCCCAGGTATCAGGACTGCTCTTTGCTCACTGCCAAGAAGCACGTTTCAGCGTGATCACATCCACAGCTCAAGTTAACTGTATTCTCTCCAATATTACTCATATTGTAATCTATCACAAGCCTTGGAATCAAAAAACCAGCCAGGCATTTGCAGCGTCACCTCGGGTAAATCATGCAATGCTTCTGTCCTCAGCTTTTTCATGTATCAAATGAGTATGGTAACTCCTATCTTGATGATAATAACATGTATTTATGATCCTTGGAATGTTGCTGTGAGGTAAGCATTACAACTGGAACTTTTCTGATAAGCAGACAGAGTTTCAAAAAATAAAGTTCCCAAGATTACATAGGTTAGAAAGTAGCAGAACAGGAATTCAAATGCAGGTAAGTCTATTCTAAATGCTATGGTCCTTCAGATACATTTTACTTGTTCTACCTCTTGCCTTGTGAACAGTAACTGAGGTAACCTGAGCAGTTAGATTACCTGTCACATAGTAGATGCACATCATGTGTGAATTATCTCCCCCTCTACTCTTACATGTTGGTGAGATGAGAGCATTTTGCTTTCATTCTTGTCTGTATATGACCTTACATTAGGACAGCTTTGTGAAATAATCAGTCTGGATGAATTCCATGTTTAACTAAAAATATCATAGAATACAATTTTATCCTTGAAGAATCCCAGGCCTGGTAATTTTTCAACAGATTGAATGCATTAAGCTTTTGTATATACATAGACCCATGCTGGAAGATATACAAAGTTAATCGAAGAGTAACAATTCCTGTCCTTTAAGAATTTATAACCTAAAATATACCACAGAGATGTGAGCTCAAATACACAAATTCAAACAAACATCAACACATGAATAAAGAAGAACAGTACAACCTTTCAGTCTTGTGTTGAACAGAACTGCTTTTAACATACACACACAAATTAGAATAATATTTAAACACAAATCAGAACCTCCATGAGTGGGAAGGATGAAGAGTTTTTCTGAAGGAAGAAGGCACCCTCCCAATCAAGTTCACACACCAGGATTTCTCTAACACATATACAATGCCAAGAAAACAAGCTCTCAGATGCTGGAGTGCAAAGGTACTTTTGCATAAACTAACTATTTAGCAAAATAGTCCTGTTAAAATGAAGTTATTTATTTTAAGACAGGAAAAAAAGAAAAAAACTTTCCATTGATTTTTTTCATCAAAAACAGTGTAATACAGAAGCAACAAAGCAAGAATTTTCTTCCAGGTTTTGACATTTAGAAGCCCTCCACCCATTTGGTACCTACAGACTGGGAAATACATTTAGGAAAGAAAATCAACAGTA
Source organism: Homo sapiens (assembly GCF_000001405.40). Classification (NCBI taxonomy): domain Eukaryota; kingdom Metazoa; phylum Chordata; class Mammalia; order Primates; family Hominidae; genus Homo; species Homo sapiens. Next base: position 198,903,797 of record NC_000002.12, read on the forward strand.
AGGTTCACAACACAGAAAAACCAACTAGCTAAGATTTTAAATAACCTTCACCATATAACAGTAATGATGCAGCTACAGTCTGCTTCTTCATGGTATTTTTCATTTTGAAAGAAATACTTTCTTGCCTCATTTCTAGAAGGTCCAAGCTATACTTCCCTTAAGCAGTGGACTTCTGCACTGGTTAAATAAAACACCCTCCACCTCTCTCCTACTTCTCTATGGCTCAAATTCCCCTTCCCAAAGCCTGAATTTCATTTAGGAAAAACTTCTCACAATAAATTTAAGTCAAGTTAACTCTGCACCTCTTCAAAACTTAAAAGAAAGAACAGTTTCAATTGCAGCCCCTGGCCAAATCTACCACCTGTGTATTGACAGACTTAAAAAATCAACATTAGAAATAAACAAAGCAAAACTCTACCTCTATTCCCACTTATGAACTGTGTCTGGCAGATTAACCTGAAAATTACAGTGGGGAAGATTCTGCAGTGATTCTTACACTGAATATAAAGACAGCCCCAAGCTGAGGGTTTTCATCTTCACCTGATTTATTCCTTCCTTTCTTCCATCTATTTCATTCCCAAGGCAGTGACTCAATTTTTTTCCTATTGAAGTCATTGAAAGAATGCAATCTATCTTATCCAAGCGAAACAACTTCATTCATCATATTATAGTCACATCAATTAGGAGTTAATGGGTAAAATAAAACATCAAGAACCTCCCTTTTGACCCATATCATCTTTTCTGCATATTCCTGATGCCCTGGGACAGTTCAGTTCACCCTCTTCCTTATTTATTTTATTTAATAAATATTTATTGAATGCCTACTGAGTGACCTGCATTGTAGTAGATATTTGTTGTTTAACACTTATTTGATATTCAGCTCTTGCAGACGTATACTGATTGAGACTTATTCATACCTCCTATCTTCTAACAAAAAATATAAGCTCTTTAGTAGGAGCAGGGGTCAGGTGAGTGGGGGACCATACTTGCTCTTCTCTTCATTGCCTAGCAGATATTTCAAACAGTATTTTCTCAATAAATACTTTGTATATCAAAGACCAGGTTTCAGCTACCTGTTATTTCTGTTTTGAAGCCTTAAAGGACTCAAACCATTGTGGCCCTTTCTCAGTTAAAAATTTTGAAGTTTCTTTCTGGTCTGTGGACTATAATGGGTACAGTTCACCTCTCCACAAGTTAGAAGGAAATTGAATTTCAGTCTTTGGGGAATCACCTATGTTGCAGACACTGCCAGATGTGCTAGTTACACATGCCTGCTTTGTGAATACAGTGAGCCCAACTTACGTTATTGACTGCATTGAAACAATGGCTAATTTTATTCCAGACTCTGCACAGTGCCACAAAACTGTAGCTACCATAATGATGTTATAAGAACTTGAATACTTCAGTGCAAGACTTGCCAACTGGAAACACACCTTCAGTGATATGAATTGGCTTGAAACTATTGTTGGAAAGGTAAACATCTTTTCAACCCTTGAGTCTTTCATTTGAAATAGATACACACGATTTCTCGGAATGCCCCCAAAAATATGATCAAGGAATTTCTAACATTTAAATAAGATGCATACATTACAGGATGTAAAAATGGGACATTGTTATTACAGTTCCTATTGAGTGCCACACACAGAACAAAAGTGTTAAGTTGCTAAATGACCATGTCTTCTATGTGGTGCCAGAATATCTATGCAGGACTTATTCGTATGGTAGGCAAAAATTAGTTCTGTCAGTCTTAGCCTATCACTACCTCTAGACTACATAAAAGAAAGAGATGGGATAGATTAAGATAGTTCGATATAAGAGACAGAATCTCTAAGGATCAAGTTGTTGGAAATATTTTGTGTTTCCTCTCTTCTCCCAAGAGGAGAAAAACTACCCTCCACCAATTTGAGACCCATTATGTGGCAGAGGGATTTTTTAAACTTCCTGGAAAGTTTGAAGTGAGTCTTACATGATTTGGACACTGTTTATTGATTCCTACTTAGAAAAGTTTAAAAGACCTGAAGCTGCTCCTCGTGGCATAAGAAGAAGAAAAGCAACTATAGTGTGAGAAAATTTCACCTCTGTCAGTGATGGACAAAAATAAACCCTTTTAAAGGAGTTGGGCTTGAGTCAGATTGAGTCATTAATTCTGAACGCCAGAGCTAGGTCACCCCAAAAAAGAGTCTATGTGGGTTGTACCAGCCAAAATTGAGCTAAAGGAAGAACTCATAGAGGACCAGTTGCAGAGCTATCTTTTGCTTCAGGGAACAGTGCAAGAAGTCACCTGTAAGGATGGATGTCTGAAAAGCCCACAAAATTTTCCGAGAAGATAAAGAGCAAGATTTTGGCCATTTTCCAAACCCAGAGAACACTAATACTAAATTACCATGTGATGAACCCAGTAACTTTTCACTTCTACTTCCCCTTCTTCCTCCTCTTACCTAATCCCAAAGGGCCAGAGGCAGCATAAAGAGTACAGTATGCTCTCATTTATGTTCTCTTGGTATACTTGCTTTTGAAACCAATTCACCATTTTGTGAAGAAGTCCAAGCAGCCTGAGGGGAGTCCTACATGGAGAGAAACCAAGCTTTGGCTGAATTCCCAGCCAACAGCCAGCAACCTACTTGCAAGCCATATGACAGAGCTGCCTAGAAAGCAGATCTTCCAGCCCCCAAAATGACCATGTTGGTCAGGCTGGTCTCGAACTCCCAACCTCAGGTGATCCGCCCACCTCGGCCTCCAAAGTGCTGGGATTACAGGTGTGAGCCACGGCGCCCAGACAAGAAATAGCTTTTTATGATCTACACACCAGGTAGGAAAGAATTAGACTGAGGCAGTTGGTAAACTTGTTAATAATATAACCCTGCTAAAATTGTTGTTTTGTTTATTGGAAGTGTTATTGAAAGTTTATTACTATTAAAAAATAAATTTTTAAATGCATATGCTTGGCTCTTTAATAACACTATTTGATAAAGTTATTTTTAAAACATTACTTACATTATCCAATCATTTCTGTCATTTTAAGAGTTCAACATATTACAATTAATGTCACCACACATAGAATCATAAAATACATGAGGCAGAAATGATCTTAAAGATCATCTAATCTAATCCACAAATTTTATGACTGAGGAAACTGAATCCTAGAAATGAGAAGTCACTTATTCAGGATTACATATCTTAATAGGGCAGAAAAAGGCAAAAACATGTATGTCTTTATTCCTATTCCAGGATTCTTTATACCATCTTGCATAACATATAGAACTTCAATAAATATATAATTGTCTAGATATATATTATATGAATGAATAAGTATCTATAAACAATTGCAAATATATAAATGTTTAAATGGGATAGCATTGTTGAGAAACAGCATAATTTGAAACTTCTCTATAGTTAGTATACATTTTCAATAAAGGACAAATTTAAATGATAGGAGAATGTTAACTGAGAATTATAATAATAGCATAGTTTTTCATATTTAAATAGCACATTTCATGACTGTTCATTCATTCATTCCATAAACAACTGGATATCTACCATGTGCCAAATACTCAGGGCAAGGCATACAGGCCTGAATAAGAAGTGAAGTCTAGAATTTAGAGTCTGAAAGAAAATAGAGATATTAAAAAATGTAATCACAAGTATGATGAGTGTTATAGGAAAACTCACCTTGCATAAATTACTTAATCTACCTAAACCTCCATTTCTCATTTGTAAAATAAGCATAATGATAATCAAATCATATGATTAAAGAATCAATTTTATCTTATAGTTTCTGCATGGATTAAATGAAGTAAATGAACTAGAAGATAATGATTCTGCAATAAATATTGACTCTAACCATTCTTAATAAGGTTACAGGGTGACAAGGGGTGCATAAGAGGGGCACTCATATTGGTCTTTATGTTATGGGAAGACTTCCCTAAGGAGGTAATACTATGGAAAAGTAATAATTAGCTGCCTAAAATAAAAGGGGGTGTTTTAGGCAGAAAAAAAACAACACATTTACAAGTTTGAAGGGCTGGAAATGAGAAATAATGCACCTCATTTGAGAACTATAGTCGTACTGTCCAATACAATAGCCTCTAGCCATGTGTGGTTAAGTTTAAATGTAAACAAATTGTAATTAAACAAGCCTAAAAATTCAATTCCTCAGTCATGCCAGGTGCATTTCAAGTCCTCGATAGTAACGTGTAGCTAGTAGTTACCAGGTTGGAGAGCACAGACACAGAACATTTCTGTCACTACAGTAGGTTCTACTGAACAGCACTGAACTAAAATTTAGAATGGCTTGAATTCAGAAAACCAAGGAGACAATGATGGCTCATAAGTGTGGAGAAGCAGGTGGGGTCAGAGATTACAGTGGACCTTTTGAGTCACGTAAATAATTTGGGACTTTATTTTAGAGGCAATGGAAATTTTTCCTCAATAAATCATCTATTTTTATAAAGTAAATTAAAATTAAACTCTTTTTATCTTAAACACCTTACATAGATTGTTTCATTGCTGTTGTCACAGCATACTTTTCCATATAAGTTTTCATTGTGGAGAATTTGAAGCAGTGAGGATTACATTCACATTTTATGCATCGCAATTCTGTGATGTGCTCCAAACCCAATAGCAGCTAGTCTAAATTAAAACTAGAATCTAAGCCGTCTACCTTTTGTCCAAAGGGGTCTGTGGCTAAATATAACCACTTTATATATTTTTGCTTCCTTGCAGAGAAATGTTTATAAAAGATGTTGATATTCCTGTGTATAGATTTCATTTGAAAAATACTGATGTCATAAAAATATTGAAAACACACATTTAGAAGGAAATACTTATTCCAAGTTTACTTTCTACAAATAGCCTATAATTTTGCCTCTCTATTTTTGCTTTCTGAGAAAAAATAGAGACACTTCTACATGGAAAATCAAGTAACCTTGAGAAGGGTAAATTGTTGGCACAGTTGTTAACAGTGGCATTGTGAACTGTGTGGAAGACATGTACAAAATCCAACTAATGCTCACATTGTCCTTGTATGATGGGCACCATCACAGCTTTTAAAATTATGATGTAGTCTTTTATTAATGAACTTTGAAATATTAAAAAATTGCCGCTATTCTGTTAGCAGCATGCATTCCTTGCATTATTAATCTCTCTAACCCCTTCATGTCCTTACTATCTAACTATAAAAACACTTGAACAAATAATAGAGCCCAGTAAAATCCTTCATCGCAGAATCTAAGAGGAATGCTATGTGAGGTCCAAGACAAGAATAAATACATTTCCTACATTCTGAGGAAAACAGCATTCAGATTAAAGCTAATTTATAGTGGGGTGGTTTTTATAAGGTTTTGTTTTTTACTTCAACTTGGCCTTCTTAAGAGCTTGTGAAGGTTACAATGCTTACTCACAAGAGACTCTTCATTATAAATGGAGAGATATGTCAGGACCAACAAAGCAATTTGCAAATTATTAGGCATTATATTCAGCCATGTAGTTATAATCTACAGGCCTCAGAAATGTTAAGGATGGATGGTGTATTCAAATGAATTGAAAATAAATAATTTACCAGCTGAACTCTGGTTTGACAGTATATTTATTCAACTAAAAGTTGCTTAACTCTATGAAATCCTCAAAAGTGTAGGACCTGGCCTTAAATAATCACCAAATTCACTCAATTAAAATAAAATATATTTAAATTTCTTTGTTAAATTTTTACCAGATATAATTTCTCAATCTGGCATATTTATTTTTCTATAGCTTTGGTTACAGGTATCTATTCCAACTTTCTAAATAAGGCTGCTTATTTTTTAAAAAAAGAGGCCAAGAACAGACTGAGTCAAAACCCTTGCTTTGCACTATTCAGCAGACAAATGCCACATCATAATCAATTATCCACAAAATGAGACCTTCTTATGCATCCATGGAAATAGACTAAAACATTGGCAACCAGAAAGGAATTTCCAGAAGCTGTCAATGGGTGAACCCAGAATTCACCAATAAAGATCAGCAATTCTACCCTCCACAAACTTGAATATTTTTACTTAAAATTTGTTTGCCTGAAGGAAGCTTTCATTTAAAAGCAGGAAAAGTTTTTTAAAATTTACATTAAAGAAATCTATCTATGCTAACTATATCATCGGATTTATAATGTAAAATCAGGGAATTCTGAGTTTACAAACTAATGTATTACAAAGCAGTTGTTATCAAGAGTATTGAGGGTTAAGTAGGAATCATCTGTCCATGAGCATCATAACATAAATCTCATCTCCATACATATTCAAGTCAACTTATCATAGATGTGCAAATTCAGGGTTGTTTCTGAAAGTCATGAAATATTCAACGGAGTTAGGTCCAGGAAAACAATTTTAATTCATTCATTTAAAAATGTTACTCATTAGGTGTCTACCATGTCAAGAATTGTCTAGGCTTCAAGGATGCTGAGAGAACCAGAAAGACAAGGTTTCTGCTTTCATGAACCTACAGTTAGTAGGGAAATTAAGTGTGGCTTAAAAATAACTTTGTATTGGATCTTCCACCCTATGTAGTAGGCAGAGTTGTTCTCTCTACTCCTGGCTACTGATTAGGAAACCCAAGCCCTGGGAAGAGCCATTTTTCCTTCAACTCCATTGTCATGTAAAATAACATTTACATGAGCAAAATTCATCCATCTCTGAGTTTAAAACTACTATATATGTCTTTGTAGCTTAACAGTATTAAAACTAGATGATTTATAAATGTGCTTACTGATCAAAAACCACATCGAGTTTTTTATTGTATATATCTATGGGGTTCATTGTCATATATATATATATATATAGATATACACACACACACATACATACATCATGGAATGATTAAATTGAGCTAATTAACACGTCAATCACCTTACATGCTTGTCATTTTTTTTGTTTGTTTGTGGTGAGAACACTTGAAGGCAAGTAACACTAAATTCACTCTTTAGGCTAAACTTTTAGAGTAAAATCTATTCTTTTAGCAACTAGAAATATACATTATTATTAACTATAGTCACCATGCCATTCAATAGTTCAATGAAACTTTTTTCTCCTGTCTAAATAAGATTTTGTGCCCTTTGCCAAACATCTCCCGTTTTCCTGTACCCTCCTCCATCACATGAGTGGGGAGCCTGAGATGGAGTGTTGAGATAGGGCCATAGGAGTAGTGTTAAAGGTGGGCTAACAATACCAGAGGCTCCAATATTGCTTCTTTCATTGTGTTTTGATAACATAATCTCAGAAAGAACCTAGAACTTAAGAGCTACGTAGAAATTTACTTACAGAACATTCCTGTTAGTTTACACAGAAGGAAATTGATCAAATCATACAAGCATTTGGACATCAATTAGGATGAGAAGCAGGACATATTAGTGATCTTTCCAGGGTACTACATTATACCCCAAGATGTACAAAGTTTCATGCTTCCATAGCAACTGGGAGTTATCTAAGACCAAAATATATCATCAATTTCCTCTCTGGAGAAGAACACTGCTTTTCATTAAATAGCCTAGAATCTCCTTTGGAAAGCAGGTAAACATAAAATTAACCTGCATTAATTGGAGGTAATGTGTTTCTTTCATTAAAATAATACCAATGACAAAATCATTTCACATGCTTTGAGAGGAATAAAATATCACTCAGGTTGCAATTATCTGTGAAGTACAGTCATTTCCTAGCCAGACCTTAAGGGAAATTGATTGTTTCTTTATGTCCTTTGTTTATACATATTTCTTAGACTTAATGGCTGACAAGTGACCATTTCATTACCATAAGATGCCTCTCTGTTTTCCAGAGCTGATTCTTCCTTTACTTTTGCTTAACAGTAGCAATAGTGTTCATAATTAGATGCACCTTGGTTTTCAATCCCAAAGTGACTTTGCAGATTGCTTCATGACAGCATCCCAGTTTCTCATTTTACTGTTAGTAAGAGACCATGCACATTTGCTGAAATGCACATCACAAATGTTTGTCCTGTTTTCACCCAGAGGTAAGTGAAAAATGTGTCTGTTTTCCCAAGCCAAGAAGAAGAGGGGAGAATCATGGCTGTGCACACCTCAGATTTATGGTCCAAGGAACTCTCACTTGCCTAGTAGTTATTTTGGTCTAGGGAAGGCCCCTGTTCATATTTCCTTCTTCCTGGACCTACACCAATTTGAGCAGCTATCAATCCACAGAATAGAAGGTACTCAGGAATTTTTTTTAATGTCACAATGGTTAATAGCATGGATATGGAAACAAAACAAGCTTAGTTTGAATCCTAGCCTATGTAACTTCGTGTGAAGTATTTTACTTTGTGTATCCCAGTAACCTCATCTTTAAAAATCGAGATATTAATTGTTCCTACCTCATCAGCTTCTTGTGATAATTAAATCAAGTAAAATTTAATTACAAGTAAAATAAATATTAACTTACATTTAGTTTTTTGCTTAGGACAGTGTATATCACATAGTAAAAACACAAAGCAAATTAGCTATTAGTATTGGTTCTTGTCATTCATAGGCTTTCTTTCACCACTCTAGATACCCATGGTTACATGCCTTGTCCTCAATGTGGTTTCATGGTTTTACAACCTCCAGGACCATGTACCACCTCTAAGCTGTAGATACAGGGAATAATATCCTGGAAAGAAAAACAGCTGTCTGTTATTAGTGGAGAACAGGATAGACCTCTGCTGCTCCCTCCCAGAAATTAGAAAAAAAGCATGGCATTCTTCGTTATCCAAAAAGCATGGTGAAACACAAGCAGGAGCACTTAATAGCAACAGTAAACATGTACCTAGCTGACAGGTGCTTGTCTAAGAATTTGACTCACTATTACACTATAAGGCTGGTAGTATTAGCATCCACATTTTACAGAGAGAAAGGGGCAAAGCATCTTACTCAGGGTCACAAAGCTGAAAATTGAGACAGCCACAATTGCTTATTTTTATTTTTATTTTTTGAGGCAGGTTCTTGCTCTGTTATCCAGGCTGGAGTGCAGCAGTGGATAACTCACTGCAGCTTCCAACTCCTGGGCCCAAGTGATCCTCCCACCTCAGCCTCCCCAGTAGCTAGGAATATAGGCACACACCATCATGCCTGGCTAATTTTTTATTTTTTGTAGGGATGGGACCTCATTATGTTGCCCAGGCTGTTCTTGAATTCCTGGCCTCAAGCAATCCTCACACATTGGACTCCCAAAGTGCTAGGATTACAGATGTGAGCCACCATGCCTGGCCCTGAGAGCCAGGATTTGAACCTGGGTATCTCAGGTTCATAGTCTGGCTCTTTATCACTCTATTATATAGTCTTTCATTGTAAACATTCTCCAAGTAAGCCTGAGATAATCTGCTACAAAAGAATAGTCATGAATATAAGAGGCATATAAATTTTTATGTACCATATAGGAGGTTTTCACAAGGACATCTAACCTTCTCAGTGGAGAGAGTTATTTATAGAATATTTATTGAAGCCCTACTATGTACTAGGAACTATCCTAAAGACTGGGAATAAAATAATTAAGGACATCGCCTATTCCCTCATAGAGCTGACATGCTCCTGGGGAAGAGAAACACTAATCAAGTAAACAAAGTAATTTCAAAAATATAATAAAAACATGTAAGAGGTTATAAAGTGAATAGAAATTGTAATTCTATGCTAGAATGGTAAAAGAGATATGTTTGATTATAATTACTTGAGAGGAAAAGTAGATAAAACCCATAATGAAAGACCCCCACCATTTCTACCTTGTCCCTCCCTTTTCAGGGGACCAGAGTTTAAGCCTGTCCCCATATGAGCCATTGATACCTGAGTCACCTAGACCCAGCCCATTAAACCCTTCTGTAAGTGCACCAGTAACTGTAGGTAGAAAAATGCAGCTGACACTCACAGCCTGAAGTGATGACATTTATAAGACCCTAGTCAGCAATGATGGGGTTATAGACTTAATAAGTTCAACAGGGAGATGACAGTGGGTGATGGGGAGGAAGGGAGGGATAATAGATGAATTGGTGACAAAGAGAAAAGGCTTCAGAAAGAAAATCATAAAAAGAGGAACTGAGAGGCCAATATGAGGCAATTGTCAAAAGCCTGGGGAGAATTGTTGACAAATCATAGTCTGTGTTTCTTCAAGTGTGATTCAGGCTCCCTGGGGGTTCCCAAGACACTTTCAGGAAGTCTGTAAGGGCAAAGCTATTTTTATAGTAACATTAAGATGTCATTTGGTTTTTGTTTTTTTTTCACTCTTATTCTCTCTCAGGTATGTAGACTCATTGGTAAGGTTTCAGATTCTATATTGCAACTAACCTTTAGGAAACTTGTTGAGTTTTGGTGTAGTATCAAAGCAGTATATCCAGTTATCTGAGTGGTCTAAGTTATTGTTAATCCATTCAAGGTGCTATAATAGAATACCGTGGCTGGGTAGCTTATAAACAATAGAATTTATTTGTCACAGTTTTGGAGGCTGGGGAGTAGAAGATCAAGGTGGCGCAGACTTGGTGTCTGGTGAAAGCCCTCTTCTGGAAGCTGTGTTCTCACATGGTGGAAAGGGGTGAAGGAGGCCTCTGGGGTCTCTTTTATAGGAGAACTAATACCACATAGGGGAACTAATTATCTACCAAAAGACTTAGCTCCTAATACCATCATACTGGGGGTAAGGCTTTCAACATACACTTGTACATCTCAAATATGAGGATCTGAAATTGAAAATGCTCCAAAATCTGAGATTTTTGAGTGTTAACATAATGCTCAAAGGAAATGCTCATTGGAGCATTTCAGATTTCATATTTTCAGATTTGGGACGCTCAACCAGTAAGTATAGTACAAATATTCCAAAATAAAAAGAAAACCTGAAATCTGAAACAATTCTGGGTCCAAGTGTTTTGGATAAGGGATGTTCAACCTGTATAAATTCTGAGGAGACACACTCAGTCTACTGAACTTACTAAAACACACCTCCCTATTCTAACTACATAACTTTGTGAGTCTAGATTTTTCTCTCTTTAACAACCAAAATAACATTTTAACAAATTGAATATAGGAGCAGATATGAGGTTCTAGTTGTCTCCTCTTAAGTCAGACATTAAAGGGATTTACAAAAATGTAAAATAATGACTTTCTTATTAGTAAATTTTTATTTGGAATACAGTTGTTTTTCATTAAAAATGTTATCTATGTTAATATATAATAGAATTATTATTTTAAAATAAATACATATTTTAAATATTTCTCAGTTTTAATCTACTGTAATAAATATTGAGAGGTATGAGTCACATAAACAAAATCTCTTAAGGGTCCTCAATAATTTCTTAAGAGTTTTAAGGGACCCTAAGTTTGAGAACTGCTTATTTAGACAATTTGCTTCCAACTTTGTTCAATATGAGAAAGTTAGGAAGCTAGAAAGTATATAATCTTTGGAGCAATTGCTCAGTCTCTTTCATTAAAAATCTGCTTAAACCATGTGACAGATTGCATTGTCCCAAAATGGCCACATCAATAATTTTGGTCCCACAAAATTCTCAGAGTTTGAATATTCCTCCAAGTAAGAGGTACTTTCTAGTTCCCTCACCTAATTTGGGCCACGCTTAGTGGCTCATTTGCAATTTGTGTACTGTAGCAGAGGCAGTGCTGTATGCCTTCCAAGGGTGAGTCTAAAAATAATACAAATTAAACCCAGCTCTCTATCAGGACATGTGTTTTGAGAGATTAGAGTCCACAGTTAAGAAGCCCAGGTACTCCAAAGATGCCATCCTGGAGAGATTATTTTGAGGTGATCACATAAAGGTAGAGAGAGTTGCCTGTGGCTCCCTACCTATTCCATATTCCAACTGCTACAGTCCTCTCAGCATCAACCTCCAGACACAAGAGTAACTAAACTTCAGATGATCCAAACCATCATCCTTTAAGCCACCTCAACTGACCCAAGATTAAGCAGAGAGGAGCTATCCCCAACAAGTCTTACCCAAATTGTGGATTGATGAGCAGAATAAATATTGCCATTGTTTCAAAACACTAATGTTTGGAGTTATTCATTACACAGCAATAGTAACTGGAGCAAATACTCTCTTCAGGGCATTAGGATTTGTCTCAGGAAAAGGTGGAGTATATTATACCCACAACAGATAGTGAATGGGTATTCACTTATCCTGTGATCATCCTCATTAAAGACCATGGAAAGAAAATAACTTCATCCCAGAGACAACTACACAGAGGAAGAAACAATGAAGTCTAGTCCTCACCTTCCCCATCTCAAGAAGATCACTAGAAGTTTACCATACAAAACAAAAGAAGGAACACGTCAAATTCAGTTACAGAACCAATGAAGATTATCTGATGGAAGAAAAGGAGAAAAGAGAAAGGTAAACTAGTACAAAGATTAATTATTTTAATAAACAGTATACAAGTTATACATATATTACTTTATATTTTGTATTAATTATATTATATAATAATTAATTATATTATATTAATAGCCAACTATACAGGGAAGATATTATTCCTCTTTTGCAGGTAAGAGAACATGTGATACTCAGGGCTGTTAGGCAATTTGCCTGAAGTCGCACAGCTACAGCTCATACTCAGGTCTGTCAGATTCCAAGCCTTACAGGAAGCTGTTTTCTTCCATCTGGAACTCTGGATTTTTCTGCTACATTAAAATAAATGCATCTCTCTCTTTCAAACATAATAATAATTCTGCAAGTGTTCATGCTCTAAGCTAAGATATGGGAATAGAAAATATAACAAACTTTAAAGGTAACATTTCTGCTTCTCTCTCGGGAGAAAACTGTCTTTGTGGTACCATATGAAGCCCTGGCTAACGGCAGGTGTCATTAGGGACAGGATGGAATGAGGAGGACGTTAACAATTTACTATAAATGATTTTTCAATTGAAGAAAAACAGGAAATATGCCAGAAGGCTGTGGATCAGAGGTCAACACCTGCTCCTCCCTGTGCGTGTCCACAGACTCTGACATCTCATCTGCTGGGAAATCAGAAGTACCAAGCTGCCAGCCAAGCCAGGGAGCACTAGAGCCTTTCTGCCAGTGTCTGCCAGGTCTTAGCCTCCCTAATGCCACTCAGTGGTATCATGCTCCTTGAAACGACTCACATACCTCCTTGCTTTGTGGCAAAATGAAGGCCAAGTGCAACTTTATCCGGGAAGCAGATGCCTTGATGTTTCTGGTACTTGTCATAAGTGACATATGTATTACTTCATTTGCAAATGAGCACTCACAGGAGTCTTTGGGAATGGAGGAGAGGAGTGTCCTTTGGTAAAATGCTTCAATATTCAGCAAATTTTGAGTACTTACTGTGTCTAGGAGCTGTTATTTATTGATGAGAATTGGCTTAGGATTCTACTTTCTAGTGGATGATTTTTTTTAATCCAAATTTCTAGATGAACAACAAGCATTCTAATTGTCTCCATAAGCCTGCAATAGAGAATTCTCTCATCCTACATTCATTATTAAGAAATCCTTCCTGCTTCCATAAACTCAAGGACTTACGTCCTGTACCACTCTTCCTAAATAGAAATTAAAACCTAAGGCCATGAACTTGAAGACATATATCTGGTTTCTATACTGCTGTGAATTTTTTGAGCCTCAATCCCTCTCTAACTTTGAGGAAGCTCTATTTCTCATTACAATGGATTTCTCCATCTTGATCTTGAGCTTAATTTATTTTTAATTTTTTTAATCATGTAATATTTAATTATTATTTAAATCATTTTATTAATCATTTTTAAAGGGACATTAGCTCAGGCTGCTCCAAGGAGGAGGATATATGAAAACACGCTGTACCTTTCATTTTTTTACAACTTTACAGTAAATCTAAAATTAGTTTTTCAAAATTAAAAGTTAAAAACATTCAAATTGCCATTCTTCTGGATTTTACAGTCTATAAGAAAAGATCATAGGCTTTGGGATTAAGCAATCTCAAACCTGATTCCATCTGTTATTAGTTATGTGACTTAAGGCAAGTCACTTAACTTTGTTGAGCCCCATTTTTTTTTGTTGAATAGACAACCTAGCACATGGGTCTATCACAAGTTAAAAGTAGGCAAGATGTAATAAAATAGAGTTCATTTATCATTTCCTCCATCTCTGTACTTTATTCAAAAAAGTTGATAAATTAAAAATTACTGCTAAATTTGCATATTCTCTTATTAATAGTTGTTTACTGAGCTTAGAAATATGCATTATCTGACTGGGTAGTCTAAAGCAATCAAGCACGATTAAAGAAAGGGTTGTTCAGCTGGTTATCAGATAATTCTGAAGCCAGGTGTTGCACATGATCCTTACTTGGAGCCATCTGATCCATTGCCACATAGTTCATTGTCAAGCCAATTTCACCAGCTTGACATATATATGCTGTTAATCATAAAGAAGATCAAGTGAAAGAAAGTAGTGATTGCCATCATTAATGGAATAAAACCAGCACTAAAGTCAGGGCACATAGTAAATTTTTAACAATCTTGTTTGAGATTTCAACTGTTGGATGATCAGATCTTGAGACTGTTTAACACTTGGCGTATCTGTGAGTTTATTGTTCATTTGCTCAGTGTTTTCCATGATGGTATGGAGCTAGATAGGCTTGAAATTGAGGGTAAAAAGAATCAGTTCAGGAAATAAAGTAAATGACTCAAATTTCACTTTATGATCTAAGACTGGTTCTCCAACTTCATCGTGCATCAGAATTAACTAGAGAGCTTGTTAAAACATGTTGCTGGGGCCTATCCCCAGAGCTTTCAATTCAGTAGGTAGAGTAAGGCTTAAAATATGCATTTCCAACAAGTTCCCAGGTGATGCTGATGTTGCTGGTCTGAAGATCACACTTTGAGAAGCACTAATCTAAGAGACTAGGTCATGGGAACAAAAGCATTACAGGAAATCATAAGTTAATGTCAAATACTGACCCAGTGCTCAATTAAGGATGCAAGAAGTCAGGACAACAAATGCGAGGCTGGACAGGAGGGACTGTTACCAGGGCCATCACACAACTATGAGCATGCTGATTCCTCTTAGGAAAATTCTCAGAGGGGCTACAGAGGATTGGGTTCTGATTACACAGAGGTAACCCTACCAGGCTATTTAAATGCATAGGCCAGCACATTAAATTTTACTTATTTTTTGTGAAAGCAGGACACAATTCCTTTTGTACTTGTTAAGGCATTACAGAAAAAAATATTTTGAAATATATTCATTTCTGTTGCTGCTGTAATAAATTATCGTAAGAATGACTTAATACAAAGTATTATAGTTCTATAGGTCAAATATCTGATACAAGTCTCACTGGGCTATATAAAATCAAGATGTTAGCAGGGCTGCATGCTGATCTTGAGGCTTTCAGAAAGAATCTGTTTCCTTGCCTTTTCCAGCTTCTAGAGGCCACCCACATTATTTTGCTCCTGGCCCCCTTTCTCCATTTTGAAAGCTGTCGATGTCACATCTCTCTGACTCTTCTTTTGTCACCACATATCTTCCTAACTAGAATGGGAGGTCCTCTACTTTTATGGTGTAGTGTGATTAGATTGGGCCCACCTACATATTCCAGGATAATCTCTCAATCTCAAAATCCATACCCTTATTCACATCTGCAAAGTCCCTTTTGCCATGTCAGGTGACATATTCACAGGTTCTGGGGAATGGAACATGAATGTCTTAGAGGGTCATTATTCTGCCCACCACACATAATAACCAATGTCATTTGTTTTTACTATGGAGAAGCCGAAATTTTTTGTACTGCTACAAAAAAATCTATTTTAAAAAAAACAAACATCAACGACAGCAAAAACAACCCAATGGTGCAGAGTTCTGCTTCTGGCATGACGGCATGAGGAATTCTATGGACACATTCCCATGCAAAACTGGTGAAAATTATAAAAGGACAAAACTTAAAGTCTCTTGAAATGGTCCTGGGTCATGGAGGAAGTGAAAAAACATTTACTCAAGAAAATCTATTATAGCTTTTAAAGGTAAGAGTATGTAGTCTTTGAACAAGGTTCCACTCCATCTCTCCTATCTTTTAGCTCAACCAGATAGAAAATCCACTCCAGACAGGTGCAGCCAAAAGCACAGGTTCTCTCTCCCTACATCTCCCAGTCAGAGGACTATTTTCCTAAGCAAGAAAGGTCATTGTCATTGTTCTGGCATATAGGATGGTGTACCTATACCAAGAGAGGATACTTAAAAAGATTTCAGGCTATTGCCCCACACTCCACTGAGTATGCAGCGCCTAAAGAGGAGATATCACTTGGAAAGAAAGGTGTCTTTGCTTCTACTTCTAGCTCCAGAGCTCTGGCTGGGAGATTTGGAGTGGGGATAGAAACAGGCCTTAAGGCAGACAGCTCCTAATCTCTTCCCAGAGAAACTGACTTCATTTGAAATGGAATATGTGGAAGTTTAAGCCTTAGTGTGCTCTCAAAAACTGTGGAGATTCTCAACTCAATGAAATGGAAACTTCACTCCAGACTGACGCAGCCAAGAATATGGCTTTCTTTCCCTTCAGGTACCAGCCAGTGGTCTATCATCCTTACAGGATTTCAGCGTTTCTCATCCTGCCCTCAGCTACCTGCTGCTGAGGCTAAGTTCCAGGCAAGTACGACTGAGAGATAGGGGTGCCCTTTTTCTGCCAAGCCCCCACTGATGGTATCAAGGCTTTATCTTGGACACAGTGCCACTGAGAATACCAGGGACCTGGCCCATAAGGCAGTAATTTCACACCAGAAGAGGCAAGCCAAGAAGAACTGAGGCTACTGCCTACTCTGTCACTGAACCTCAGTTCCTAAAGTAGGGATGCCACTCAAAGAGAATTATACCCTATCTCCAACCCCAACTCCAGATCCACAGCTCAGAAATTTTGCTTGGGAATAGGGGAGGGAGTTGATAACCTGAGAAAAAGAAAGCTGGGAGGAGCCTGCCAGGGGTCAGACATAAACAAATCTCTAACACTGACCTATGCAACTACTCCTTCTAGGCAGCCCAATTTGATTAGATTAGTATGTGGACCAATTTAGGCCCCAGGCTACTGTTGGAAAAAATACATCAATCATCTGGCAATTGAATAGAGGTTAACAGCTGCATGTAGTTAGTTAGAGAATCAATCAAAGAGAGACCTGCCAAAACCACCATCATCCTAGAGTGTGATGGTCATACCTTTGCCACATCCTGCTGAGGAGCAACACCAGAGGCTTAACACTGCTAGGAAAATAAATTTTACTAAAATAATCCTGCTAATTACTAAATAGTACAACAAGCAAATGACAAGTCTCAGATGAGAAAGGGGATACTCAGAGTTGCTACAAAATTGTATCTAAAATATACAATTTTAAACAAAAAAATTATGAGATATGCAAATATATATATATATATATATATGATCCATATACTGGAAACATATCAGGCAAAAGAAATTGCCTGTGAGAGCAACCAAATGGCAGACTTAACAAAGACTTCAAAATACCCATTATAAATATGTTCAAAAAACTAAAGGAAGCATAATTAAAGAAGCAAAAGAAATATATAATAAAAATATCCCATTGAATAAATAATGTCAATAAAGAAATAGAAATTATAAAGAAATAATAGAAGTCTGGACTTTAAAAGTACAGGACCTAAAATGAAAAATTCACTAGAGGGTCCCAATAAAAAATTTGAATTGGCAGAAGAAATAATAAACTTGAAAATAGATCAATAGAGAGTACGCAAGCTGAAGAACAGAGAGAAAAAATAATAAAGAAAATTAAACAGAGTCTCAGAGAAATAAGGAAGACCAATAAGCACACCAACATACACATAATGGCAATACCAGAAGGAGAGGAGAAAGTAAAAGGAGCAAAAATAAAGACAGGAAACTTCCCAAATTTATTGAAAAACAACAATCTATACTTCCAGGAAGCTCAATGAACTTTGGGCAGGATAAATGCAAACAGATTCATAAGTAGATTATAGTAAAAATGCTGAAAGCCAAAGACAAGAAGAAAATCTTGAAAGCAGCAAGAAAAAAATGACTTATCAATTACAAGGGAACCCAATAAAATTAACAGCTGACTTTTCAGCTGAAACAATAGAGGCAAGAACACAGTGAGATAACATTCAGAATGCTCAGAAGAAAAACACCTGTCAACTAGACTCCTACATTCAGCAAAGCTATCTTTCAAAAATGAAGGTAAAATGCATTCTTAGATAAACAAAAATGAAGAAAATTTGTTGTTAGATGACCTGTCTTACAAGAAATACTAAAGAAAGTTCTTCATGTTGAAAACTGCAGACAATAATTCAGACACACACACACACACACACACCCCCGCACTAGTGAAGATAATTATGTAATTACAGAAAATAATATACCTGCATAATTTTCTCCTTTCTACTCTTAACTGTTTTTAAAACAATTTTATAAAATAATACCTATATGATGTTTTATGGGGTATATAATATATAGAAATGTACTATATTTGCTAATAAAAGCACAAAGAAAGTGAGTGGAAGCAAAGCTTTATTTGGTGAAAGAAATGACTCTAGACGGTAACTTAAATCTACAGGAATAAATGAACAAAGAGAACCAGAAATGTTAAGTAAAGAGGTTAATATGATAAAAGCTAATAAGGATATAATGGCTCTTCTATCTTCTCTCAGCTTCCTTAACAGACAAAAAATTATACAAGTAATAATTACAACAATGTATCGTTGGGGTTGTAACATTAATAGATATAATATGTATAATAATAATACCATAAAAGGTGGGGGGAGGAATACTGCTAAATGGTGGTCATGATTCTATATCTCATTGGAATTAAGATAGTATAAATATGAAGCTGATTTTCATAATTTAAGATGCATAGGGTGTTAACTGAAGAATCACGAGGTTCATAAACTTGGAGAGGAGAGCTTTATTTCTTATAAAGGGTTGTAGTATGCAGGCTGGCCATCTGCAAGACGGAAAGTGTAGCCTCCAGCAGAAATCAAAAGCAGGCACTTTGAGGGAGAAAAGAGTGAGAAGGTAATTTATGCTGAATGAGTTAGCTAAGTATATGTACACAGTCAATAGGTTATAGGAGAAGCTATGAATATTCACGAAGAGGGAGCATGTACCTGCATAATAAATAAACATGCATGTTACATGTATCCCATGATCATATGGGGGTGGAGACTGAATATTTAAGTGTACTAAATTAGACTCTATTAGTCAAAAGGTGAAGCAGAGAATATGAAGGCACTCAGTACATAGCACTCAGCACTCTTTATTTTATTTTATTTTTTTTTTGAGACGGAGTCTCACTCTGTTGCCCAGACTGGAGTGCAGTGGCGCGATCTCGGCTCACTGCAATCTCCGCCTCCTGGGTTCATGCCATTTTCCTGCCTCAGCCTCCCGAGTAGCCGGGACTACAGGCCCCCGCCACAGCGCCCAGCTAATTTTTTGTACTTTTAGTAGAGACGGGGTTTCACCATGTTAGCCAGGATGGTCTCGATCTCCTGACCTCGTGATCCGCCCGCCTCGGCCTCCCAAAGTGCTGGGATTACAGGCGTGAGCCTCCGCGCCTGGCCAAAGTACATAGCCTCTTTAGACTGGCCAGAACCATTCTAAGGGTGGTAGTCCCTTAACAAGAAGAAATGCCAGTCAATTACTGTGTTGAAACTGCAAAAAGGGAGGGGAGCCTGGCAAGGCTTTCAAAAGGGCTGGGTTCTGTTTAACCCTTAAGAAAGTAAGCCTAATGGCCCTTAGGGAGGGAGAAGGTATAATTAGGTGTGTCTGATCTCCCATCCTCGCATGGCTAGGAATTCAGTTTTTAAGGTTTCTCTGGAGTCCCCTTAGCCAAGAGGAGGTCCATTTAGTCAGTTGGGGGGAGCTTATGATTTTATTTTTATTTCTCAATGGTAAACTTTACAGCAATACTAAGGAAATATAAAGTAAAATGGCACAAGTAAATTTATTTATAATTAGTAAATTATATTTATTAATATAAATGTTAAATGGATTAAGTAATAGTCGATTAAATAAAATAGATTAAACAATCAAACAAAAAAGCAAAGATTGTCAGACTGGATTTAAAAAACCACGTTCCAACTCTATGCTGTCTATTGGAAACACTGTTTAGGTTCAAAGATACAAATAAATTGAAAGTTAATGTTAAAAAATATATATCATCCAAGTGACCACCACAAGAAAACCGGAGTGGCAATACTGATCACAGACTAAAAGAAAATATTTTACTAAAGATAGAAAGGAACATTGTATAATGGTAAAGGGCTAATCCATTAAGAATATATAAGAATTACAAACATGTACTCCCTTAATAACACAGTATCAAAACACATGAAGCAAAAGCTGAAGGAAATGAAGAGAGAAATAGACAATTCAAAAATAATAGTTGAAGACTTCAATACCCCTCTTTCATTAATGGATAGAATTACTAGGCAGAAGGGCAGCAAAGAAACAAAAGAGTTGAAGAACACTATAAACCAACTGGACCTAAGAGACATCTATGGAACACTCTAACCAGCAATGAAATATGCATTCTTCTCAAGTGTGTGTGGAACATTCTCCAAATAGGCCATCAAACAAACCTCAGTAAATTTGTAAGTATAAAAATAATGTAGCTGTTTTCCAATCATAATGGAATGAAATTAGAATTAGAAATTTGGAAACTCATGAATGTATGGAAATTAAATAAAACTCCTAAATTATCAACCGGGTCAAAGAAGAAATCAAAAGGGAAATAATAAAGTACTTTGAAATGAATGGGACTAAAAGCGCAACATACCAAAACATATGGAATGTGGCTAAGGTATTTCTTAAAGGAAACTGTCGCTTTAAGTGTCTATATTAACGATAAAGAAATATCTCAAATTAACAACCTAAACTTCAACCTAAACCACTGGAAAAGAAGATCAAACTAACCCTACAGCAAATAAAAGAAGTGAAATATTAAAAATAAATAAAAAGAGTAGAAATTAATGAAATAGAGAATAGAAAAAAACGGAAAATCAATGAAACCAAAGCTGATTTTTGGATAGGTCAAGAAAATTGATGAACTTTTAGTTAGGCTGACCAAAATAAAAAGAGAGAAGATAAATTAGTGATATCAGAAATAAAAAGGGGATATTGCTATTGCTCTTACAAAAATAAAAATGATTATAAGAGAATACTATGATCAATTATATGCTACTAAATTAGAAAACTGAGAGTTAATGGAAAAATTTTTAGAAACACACAACTGTCAAAACTGACTCAAGGAAAAAAAAAATGTAATATGAATAGACCTATAAAAAGTAAAGGGATTGAACTAGCAATTTTAAAAAATACTCACACAAGAGAAAACCTAGGGGGCCAGAGGACTTCACTACTGAATTGTATGAAATATTTAAAGAAGAATTAATACCTATTTTTTGTAAACTCTTCAAAAATATAGAAGAGGGACACTTCACAACTCATTCTATGAAGCCAGTGTTACTGTGAAAAGAAGATTAAACGAAGACATCACAATAAAGAAAGCTACAGTCCAATGTGTCTTATGAATCTGGACATGAAAACCCTCAGCAAAATGTTAGCAAACTGAGTGAAAAAAAAAAGAGAGAATTACATACCACAGCTAAGAGAAAATCTACCCCAGTATGTGAGATTAGTTTAATAATCATAATGTAATACCCCATATCAATAGAATAAAAAGCAAAAATCATGCAATCATCTCAATAGATGCAGAAAAAGTATTTGACAATATTTAACATCTTTTTAATGATATAACCACTCTACAGGCTAGGAACAGGAGAGAACTTCCTCAACCTGGTCAAAGATATCCATAAAAAACCAAGAGTTAACATCATATTTACTGGTGAAAGACTGGATATTTTCTCATTAAGATCAGAAACAAAAGAAGAATGTCCTCTTTCCACTTCTATTAAATATTGTACTAAAGTTCTAGCCAGGGCAAATAAGAAAATAAACAAAAAAAATGGCATCCCAATCGGACCACAAAAAGTAAAACTATCTCTGTTTGCAGACGACATGATCTTGTATATAGAATAGCCTAAGAAACTCACTTTAAAAAAAGAATAAACAAGGTCAGCAATACTGCAGAATTTGGTTTCAACGCACAAACATCAATTGTCTTTCTTATACTTGCAATATCCATCCAAAAAGAAATTAAGAAAAAATCAATTTATAATAACATTAAAAAGAATAAAATACTTAACAAAGTATCCCATGCTCATTAATCAGAAGACATACGATTTGGATAGCAATATCCCCCAAACCGATCTACAGATTTAATGTAATACTCATTAGATCTAGCTGATTTCTTTGTAGAAACTGACAAGCTAATTCTAAAATTGATATGGAAATTGTAAGGGACCAAGAAGAGCCAAAACATTCTTGAAAAAAGAACAAAATATGAAAAACTCATACTTCTCAATTACAAAACTTAATTGCAAAGCAATGGTAATCAAGACAATGTGACATTAGAATAACCATAGATATATAAATCAATGGAATAGAATTGAAAGTCCAGAAATAAATCCCATGCCTATATGGTCAACTCATTTTTGACAAGACTACCAAAACCATTCAATGAGAGAGTAATAGTTTTTTCAACAAGTAGCATTGGAATAACTGAATACCACAAGTGAAATAATAAAGTTTTACTCTTACTTCATACTATTTCAAAAGCTAACTCAAAATGGATCAAATAATTAAATGTTAAGACCTGAAACTACAGAAACCTTAGAAGAAAACATAGGGATAAATCTTCATACCTCACGTTTGGCCATAGTTTCTTCTGTCTGACAACAAAAGCACAGGTAGCAAAAGAAAATATAGACAAATTGAGCTTCACCAAAATTAAAAACTTTTGTGCATAAAGGAATGCTATCAAAAAAGTGAAAAAGACAATCTACACAATTCAAGAACATATCTGAAAACCATATATCCAATAAGAGTCTATTACCTAGAATATATAAATAACTCTTACAACTCAACAATAAAAAGACAAACCCAATTTAAAATGGACACAGGACTTAGAGATTTCAGAAGAAGAAACACAAATGGCCAACACACACACACATACACACACAAAGATGCTCAACATAATTTATCATTAGAAAAATGCAAATCAAAACCACAATAATGAGATACCACTTTACACCCACTAGGGTGGCTATAATAATAGTGTTAACAAAAAAAGAAAATAATAAGAGTTGATGAAGTAGTAACGAAACTGGAACTCTTGCACATTCCCAGTGGGAATGTAAAATGCTGTAGCTACTGTGGAAAACAATTTTGGTGGTTCTTCAAATATTAAAACATAAAATTACCACATGACCCAGCAATTTCACTCCTAAGTATATACCCAAAAGAATTAAAAACAGGAGTTCAAGCAAAACCTCATATACAAATATCACAGCAGTGCTATTCACAATAACCAGAAAGTGAAGATACCCAAATATACATCGATGAATGGAATGGAAAGCAAAATGTAATATATCCATATACTGTAATAATATTCATCCATAAAAACATTAAGTACTGATACAGTAATATGTAAGAATCTTGGAAACATGCTAAGTTAAAGAAGTCGGTAACAAAAGACCACATATAATATGATTCTGTTTATGAAATCTCTTGAATAGGCAAATCTATAGATACAGAAAGCTGCTTAGAGATAGGGAGACGGGGCACATGAAAGTAATTGCTAAAGGATATGGGGTTTCTTTTTTTGGTGACTGAAATATTCTAAACATGACAGTGGTGATAATTGCACATATCTGTGAATATACTAAAAATCATTTAATCGTACACTTTAATGGGTGAGTTTTATGTAAATTATATCTCAATAAGCCTTTTAAAAAAAAAGAAAAGAAAAAGAAAAAGCTATGGTGCATCAAAAATTACCTGAATCATCTTTTCAGAAAGGTTGATATTAAAAAAAGAAAAGGTTAGTGTACACACACACACACACACACACACTCCCTCATATTAAGGTGATTTAAGTGAAGATCTGAGAAAGGTAAGGAAAGTAAAAATGAACATGTATACAAAGAGAAGCTCAAGAGTGAAGCACGGACACATGCTATATGCTTGTCCATGGGTTGGTACCTGATGGCCAGCTGAGTTTAACAGCTAAGGCCAGCTTCTGGCAAAATTAGCAAGCCATCTTTTCCCTGAGAGTCAGTTTCACTACCCAGCACCTAGCTCTCTTAGAACTTTTCCTTTTAACTGATTGTCAGGAAATCCCTACAAAAGTGTTAACTGACAATTTAGGCATGAGTCTTTGTGGGAGGTTTGGCAGAAGGAATTGTTCTTTGAATTTTTACAAGAAGCTTCTGGAAAAAAAAAATGGTTACAAAGAAGGAGGTGGAATTTTGAGAAGGGGAAAGTGCTGCTAGTGGCCGTGGTTCCTGTGTGTTCATGCAGCTGCTGCTTCCACAGGGAGTCCCCACAAGGCATCCTTTCTCCATGAGCTCTGCTGAGCCATCGCCCTGACATAGCCACGTAATGGAACAGCCACCCTCTTCCTCCCCCACCCCAATGTGCATGCACAAGGGACATCTGCCACATTTACCCAACTCAAAGAGAACAAAAAATGAAATCTTAACACACTGTTTCTGAAATTGTTAAAGTTCACCTAACATTATAACAAAATACAAGGAAAACATTCATAGACAAGGCATTTCTAAAATTGGCATAATATCTAAGTAATGTTTAATAATAGTTTAAACTATTTTGATCCTCTTATAGAAGACTATATGGAGAGCACACAAAGTTAAATTATAGTATGCCCATAAGTGTGGAAAAATAGGGTATATATAATGCCATCAAAGATGTCTTAATCTGCTCTATTAAGATATTATCTATGTTGACAAGATTTGTGGACACCCTGCAAATACTCAGATGCCATGCAATGTGCTGAATGCTGTTCCATGCTCACCCTGAGGAAGGACTCCACCTTTATCACATCCCACTCAAAGTAACTGCAGTGCCACAAGACCTTAGAGGATGTTAAGAGTTGACTGATGTTTGATAAGGAATTAAAGTAGAAATTTATATCTCATATCTTTCAGCAAAACTTTATAACAAAACACATGCAATGTAAAAATCCCCATGAGACCTGCCTGTTCCCCAGGTCGTTAAGGCCCCCTTTAGCTGTGGGCCACTTCATCTCTTCTTTCACCCTTCTGCCATCCCACCCTCCTGCCTCATGGGCTCCAGCCTCTTCATTCCCAGAGATCTTCCCGAGGAGTCCCTTTCTTAATACTTAATAGAACCATGTAGCTCTCTGAAAACTTCTCCAGTCCTGTGTCCTCAGAGCCATCGTTCAGCTCAGAAAAACAAACACACAAACAAACACTATCACCACCACCACAACAAACAAGCAACAAGGAAAATCTGAGATCTATCTGCCATTCCTAGAAGGGGCTTTGAAGAAAAGGGGTAGGATTGCAAATATTTGTATAATACATGATTTTTTTCTTTCACAAATTATATCACTTTCTCTGCCACCGTTTACATTCCCACATTTCATAGACATTGGCTGAGTATTCATGTGGAAGCCAGCCCCATGCTAGGACCCTTCCAGGCTTCAGGGCTTTTTCAGCCCTGCTTACAGTTTACAATCCATCATTTCAGCCCCTCTCTTACCAGTGTCTTCAGTTGCCTTGTACAATGTGAGCCCATTTGAAATAAACCTTAAATCTAGAAAAATTTAATAATTCCCACTCTTTGTATCCACATCTAGGTTGTTAATTCAGTAAAGAAAAAGAAATCATTCAATCCTTGCCATTTGTTGCCAGCACTCATTTATTCAGTCACCCATACATTTATTCCACAAATGTACATTACAAGGCCTGATATGTTCCAGGTACTAGAGATAGAGCAGTGAACAATAATAGCTAACACTATGTGGCCAGGTATTTTATATGCATACATTTTCTTAATTCTCACCACAATCCCATGTAAGAAGTACTTGTATTATTTACATTTTCAAGATGAAGAAAGTTAAGTGGAGAAATATATGACCTATACAAGTCTCTGAGCTGGTGAAACCCAAAAAGGGACCTAAACTCAGGAAAGATGACTCTTGACATCTCTCTGTTGTTCTCCCTCTGGTTTCTATGCACATGGAGCATAAAGATTATGAAGGAAAAAAGATATTGTACATACATTTCTCAAATAAGTAATATGTGAAAAAAGTGTTACTACAAAGAACGTATTGAACACTTGGGAATGTATAGGTAGTGGTAATTAACTTAATCAACACATTCAGTGAAACTGTATCACTGCCCGAAAATCCTAATCGATTTCTCTTATCTCTCTCTCTGCCGACCTCCACAGTGGTTATTTCAAACATTTCCCCACCTGATTCAAAGCACTGTTCTTCTTCCCCTTCTTCTCCTGCATACTAAGTTTATGACTTCTCACTTGATAGATCCTTCCACTTACTAATCCTCAAGCTATATACTTTCTATATCCAGAACTGATGCTCAGCCAGTAGGCTCTTGGTTCAGACATTTAATTATTGAAACACAGGCATACTTCTAGTCCAATTAATGTCTGCTTCCTGCCTGGAATCCACTCATGTGACCTCTAGCCCTGGTCCCCATACTCCTGCCACTAGGGGCCCCCAGAACTACTTCTTTTCCAGCAACTAAAGCATCTCCTTCCTTCATCTTATGGTGAAATAAATGTTTTCTCTCTTGGAAATGCTTTTTGGGGCTTGTTTTTTCTGTTTTTTGAATGTTAATGTACCTCAGGATTCTAACCATGGCTTTCCTCAATTTATGCCCTATGGCATCTTCATGAATGATATTATCCACATGTACAGCAGCCTCAACTGCAATCCTCAAACTAATGATGACAAATAAATAACTCTAGTTCAGACCATCTTTTCAAGGGCCAGCTCTTCGTGTCCAAATGCCTACTGAGTGTCTTAACTTGGGTGTCTCACAAGCAACTCAAACTTTTCATGTGATCATCATCTGCACTGGTCACCCTAACCTCCTGCTCCTTTCACATACCCTAATTCAGTGAGTGGTCCTAAGCACACCCAATTATCCAAGCCAAGGATCATTCTTGAACATTCTGTCTTGCGTACTCTCAATTTCGATCATGTCTTCTTCCTAATTATCTCTTAAACCTGATGATCTTCCCATCCACACCAAAATCACCATAGTCTGGCAACTTCAATTTCTTTTTATTCTTTGCCAGAACACAAAGGGAAGTCTGGCCTTTTTTTTTTTTTTATTACACATCTATGCCTTTGCCTGGAATACTCTTAACCCTTCTGCATCCCTTTGCCAAACTAATTCAATTTCACTCTTCGAAATTCAGGTATCACTTACTCCAGGCAGCCTTACATGAATATGCCATATGCTGAAATAGGTACCCCTAATATGTTCCCTTAAAATCTTGCACCTCCCAAAGATGTACTAATTCACTAATTTGTGTTTTATTGTCTGTCTTTCCTCTTCAATTTTAAGCACCAGGAGAGAAGACACTACATCTGTTTTCTTCACTGTATTACCAGTGACTAGTGAGGTGTCTGGCACATAGCAAGTAGGTCAAGAAATAGTTTTTGAAACAGTAAGTGGATGATAAGTAATGAAAATGTCCCAGTTCCTGGGTACCTTATGTTATAGCACAGAAAAATATTTGTCAATAAATTCAACACCAGGCAATATGTTTTACAATAGAGCTATGTACCAAGTGCTTTGAGAATCCAGAGGATAGAGTAATACATTATAGAAGGATATTTCCCATAGAACAAACACCTCTGATATGTTAGTTCTTTGAGGTCACAGAATCGTATACATTTACATGGGATCCATAAACTGCTATACAGTATGTTATAGATAGTAAGTATTGTATGAACTGCAACTCTACTCCAAACATTCAGAGTAGACACAAACATTCAGAGTCCCCACATTAATGGGAACTCTGTTTATTTTTTACATGTTGCTTCCAAGTTTACACCATTCTAGCTCACGGAGTAGCATGTGTGGGAGGGTTTAGTGGCTAAGTCTTGAAGTGATATACATTACTTAAACTTGCATTCCATTGAAGGGAGATAAATCACAAACCTATACCTAATTGTAAGAGGGCTGAGAAAAGTACTATATTGAAGAAATCATAGCCCAGTAATAATCCTGTTATTGCAGATGCAGAGAATATATTAGATAGATAAAAGTCTCTGCAACAAATTTATACACACTTGAATTAAAAACTAGGCCCTACCAAAACCTTTCTGTGTGACAGTATGTAAGATTGTACTGCTCTTATGACAATGAAACTTTCATATATGCATGTCTATATATGACATGATGGTTGACATATATGGCCTTATAGACAAGTACCTCTTTAAATATATATATAATATATATATATGTGCATATATGTCTGTATATTTATTCAATTTTCTGTGTTTTTGCCTCATTTATTTTTAAGAGGTTCCCAGTATCTCTGCCCCTTATTTCTCAAAGTTGTAGGGCATGAGATCTTCTTGGCTTCTGTTAATTTCAGGGTCCTTTGCTACACGTAAAGCCACATGAAGGTTTCCATGATTGTCATGTTACATCAAGTGGACATTCTCTGAAGCTAGTTCTATCTCTGGGATGGGGCTCCCACTTGTACTGATGCCAGTGCTAGATACTAGCTACTGTTTCCTATGGCTGTGTCCTAAAGTAACTCTCTACCAACACTGACTCTTGGTATATATCATTGGAGATCTATTGGCCCATTGTTTGGTAACACTCAATTACTGTCCTGAAAAAACCCTGAAGTAACAGGAAGCTGTGGGACAGAGGTCGGGAGAGGAAAGATCTGTGTAAAAATGTAACTATAAAAATCTACATGGGGTAGCTTTGAGTGTTTGAAGAATATTAATCCATCTATTTGTGGGGCTGAATTTCATGAGACCAGGCAAAGAATAACGGGGAACTAAAAACTGACAATTCTCAAAGCTCACATACAATGAAGAGATTTAGATTTAGTAAAGGTTTCATTAAGGTCATGCTTTAGTAGCAGGGCTAAACTATCTTTAGAGTAAATGCTGCTCTGGAGCCACCCTACTCAAGCTTAAAAATAAGCCTTGAAAAAAAACAAACTGATCTATAAGTAAAATAACAAGCCATCAAAACAGAACGCAACATTCTTTAAAGAAATATAACTAAATCCAGTCAAATAATAATGTTTGTTTGGATGCTAGATATTATGATTATTAAGAGGTTGAACACACCAAGAAACAGGAAAATGCAACTCTTAAGAAGAAGAAATTATCAACAGAAAAAGGCAAAGAAATAACAAATGAGATGAAACAGCAGACAAAGACTTTAGGACCACTGTTACAAGTATGCTTTATATACTCAAATAATTAAGGAATTAAGAGAGAAATTATGGATAGAAAAAGAATCAAACTGTTCAAGATATATATAATTTTGAAATAAAAAAGTTACTGCTTAATATGAATAGCAGATTGGAGACTGTTAGTGGACATGATGACACAGCACTAGAATCTATCCAAACTAAGATACGGAGAAATAAAGACTTAAAGAAATAAACAGAACCACAATGGGACAATTTCAAGCAGTCAAATACATATACAATTGGAGTCTCAGGCAGATGGCATGGGAGGACTCAGATAGTCGACATGGGAGGACCCAGAGGGGAGAAAGAAGAAGGAAAAACTATTTTAAAACATATAGCTAAAAACTTTTCAAATTTCAAGACTATACTCAAATAGATCCAAGAAGCTAAACAAGTCACAAGCAGAATAAACACAAAGATAACTACACCAAGTGATAAAGAGAAACCCTTAAAATTAGGCAGAGAATATTGTCATAGGTCAAATAAGATTTGAAGATTATATTGACAATACTTATGTTATTTTCCTTCAGGTGTCATTTACAAAATTAATTTAAATTATAATTTATTCTTATTATTTAATGAAGTTTCTTTTAAAGTAATCTGGGTAATTATGTGTTACTGAATGTAAAATCAAAGTTTCTTTCTGAAATCACTAAAAATGTAGGCAGAGAAAAAAAGACACTAAACAGGTAGAATAAGATAAAGATAATTCAGACTTCTTACAAAAAATATGCAATTCAGAAAACAATGGTTCAGAAAACAATGGAAAGATATTTTTAAGTGCCAAAGGAAAAAAAATAAAGCTGTGAACCTAGAATTCTATATTTAGTAAAAATATGCTTCAAAAATGAACACAAATAAAGACTTTCAGACAGACAAAAACTAAAAAAATATTGTCGTCAGTCGATCTACACTACAAGAAAAGAAAGAAAGGGACTGCTAAATGAATTTTTTAGGGAAGAAGGTAAATAATACCAGATGGAAACTTGGATCAACACAAAGAATTAAGAATGATAAAAATAGTAAATATATGAATAAACTTTTAAAAATTCTCATTTATAAAAAACTTATTTAAAAGATAAACTTTATAAAGAAAAACCACAATGAATTGTTGGCATATAGAACTAAGATTATGATAGGCACACAAAGAATAAGAGGAAAAAATAGAATTATATTATTGTATGTTCCCTATATTATAGTTATGGGGGAACATTACTTGAAATTAGACTGTGAACATAGAATGCATATGTTATTTAGCTCAATTTAACCTTTCACAATGTATACGGACTTCAAAATACCATGTTATGGACAATAAACAAATACATTTTTTAATGTAGTTAATTAATTAAAATGTAAATTGATCTTGCGATAGTTTACTGAGAATGATGATTTCCGATTTCATCCATGTCCCTACAAAGGACATGAACTCATCATTTTTTATGGCTGCATAGTATTCCATGGTGTATATGTGCCACATTTTCTTAATCCAGTCTATCATTGTTGGACATTTGGGTTGGTTCCAAGTCTTTGCTATTGTGAATAATGCTGCAATAAACATACGTGTGCATGTGTCTTTATAGCAGCATGATTTATAGTCATTTGGGTATATACCCAGTAATGGGATGGCTGGGTCAAATGGTATTTCTAGTTCTAGATCCCTGAGGAATCGCCACACTGACTTCCACAATGGTTGAACTAGTTTACAGTCCCACCAACAGTGTAAAAGTGTTCCTATTTCTCCACATCCTCTCCAGCACCTGTTGTTTCCTGACTTTTTAATGATTGCCATTCTAACTGGTGTGAGATGGTATCTCATTGTGGTTTTGATTTGCATTTCTCTAGCAAGAACAAAAAACCAAACACCGCATATTCTCACTCATAGGTGGGAATTGAACAATGAGATCACATGGACACAGGAAGGGGAATGTCACACTCTGGGGACTGTGGTGGGGTGCGGGGAGGGGGGAGGGATAGCATTGGGAGATATACCTAATGCTAGATGACAAGTTAGTGGGTGCAGCGCACCAGCATGGCACATGTATACATATGTAACTAACCTGCACAATGTGCACATGTACCCTAAAACTTAAAGTATAATAAAAAAAAATAAATTTAAAAAAATAAAATAAAATAAAATGTAAATTGATTCTTTATCCTAATAAAATACTGAGACATAAAAAAACTGTAAAGATAAATATATATTTTATGAAGGCTCCAGTAAGCTACTAACATAGCTAATCTATGTTATGATTATGATTATGTCACATAATCTATGTTATGCGAGTGATCTCGGCTCACCCGCAGCCTCTGTCTCCCGGGTTCAAGCAATTCTCCTGCCTCAGCTCCCGAGTAGCTGGGATTACAGGCATGTGCCACCACGCCCGGCTTGTTTTGTATTTTTAATAGAGACGGAGTTTCTCCATGTTTGTCAGGCTGGTCTCGAACTCCCAACCTCAGGTGATCCACCCACCTTGGCCTCCCAAAGTGCTGGGATTACAGGCATGAGCCACCGCACCCAGCCAAAAATGAGTCTTAAATTATGCATTTAATCCAAAGGAAGGCATGCAAAAAAAAAAAAGAAAAAAGAAAGGAAGAACAGATATTGGAGAAAGAAAAACAAATACAATAGACAGAAAGCTAAGAATACTGATAATTAGATTAGTGAAAACAATTCAAGCATTCCAATTAAAAGAAAAAGATTGTTAGAGTGTTTTATGTAAAGCAAAATCCAAATATGTACTGTGTACAAGACATTTACTATACATAGATATATTTATATGTTATATATACACACTATATATATGTATGGCAATAGGTTCAAGTCAAAGGAAGGATTAAGTTTTATCATGTAAATAATAATAATCATTTTAATAATTAAAAAAGTGGTTAAATTAATATCAGACAAAGTAGACTTCAAAACAAAGAATATTACTAGAGTCATAGAAGGATGTTTTATAAAGGAAAAGGGATCCATTCATCATGAATACATAACTCTCCTAAATGTATAGACAGTCAATAACAGAGTTTCAAATATATAAAGCAAATCCTAATAGTACCATAAGAAATATGCAAATAAATGTAAAATTACAGTTGGAAAGTTCAACAGTACTGTTTCTGTGAGTGATAAAAAAAAAGATAATAAATCAGTAAGGATAAAGATGAATACTAACAACCAATATGACTTACAGAAAACTCTGTCAAAAACATAGCAAAATGCACATTGCTTTTAAGGATGCGTTGAAATTTACCAAAAGGGACTGTATTAATCAGGATTCTGCAGAGAAACAGAACCAATAAGATATATATATACATATATATAGATATATGAGAGTAAACATATTATGGGAATTGGCTTATGTGATTATCAAAGCTAAGAAGTCCTACAATATGCTGTCTGCAAGCTGCAGAACCTGGGAAACCAGTGGCATAGCTCAGTCCAAGTCTGGAGATCTGAGAACCAAGGGAGCCGATGGCATAACTCTCAGTTTAAGATTGAAGGCCTGAGAACCCCAAGATCTGATGCTGCAAGTCCCAGAGTCCAAAGGCCAGAGAACCTGGATTTCTGACACCCAAGCACAAGAGAAGATGGGAGCCCCAGCTCTAGAGGAGAGAGTGAATTTGCCTTTTATTTGCCTTCTTGCTCTATCCCGGCCCTAAACTGATTAGATGGTGCCTGCCCACAGTGGGTGAGACTGGAGCTCTCTTACTCCATCCACTGATTTAAATACCAATCTCTTCCAAAAACATCCTCACAGACATACCCAGAAATAATGCCTTAACAACTATTTGGATAACCTTTAACCCAGTCAAGTTGGCACTTAAAATTAACCGTCAATGAGACCATACTTGGGTTAACAGAATAAATCCTATGGTGTGTTTAAGACAATTTGTGTGATCTAATTTTGCACATCTCTTTCCAGCTCCATATTCTCAATTCATTACTCAGTCACAATGCTATCTTAAAATTTATCATGTGTATCTGCTGATGATAAACACTACCAATATGAACTCATAATTTTTTAAAAAATGTGTAGACATATAAGGAAATAATCATAAAATGTGTATTCATAATTTATTATGTAGACATATATTTTCTAAGTCTATTCACTGAGGGACTAGGATCAACGAAATACCAATACTAATGAATATGCATACCACCTAGATCTTGGTTCCTGAATAACATTCTTCACAAAATAGAGCAGACATCCTTGGATAATTGGTTGATTCAAGAGTTTGAGAAGGTAAATATAAAGTAAATCTAAAATAACTAAAAGTACCACAGGAAAAGAAGTGCTAAAAAAATGATGAGGCATGTCTAAGTGTTGAACTATGCAGCGCTCAACGTAAAAGAATTTATCACAACCAACATCGCAACAACTTGAGCAAAACAAAATAAATAACTGAATATGTTATTAAACCATAATGATTTAAATAAATAACTGAATACGTAAATGGAAGAGAAAAAACAATTTTTCCTATAGAAGTATTCCAATTAATAAATATAGAAGAACAATTTAAATAGAAAATCGCTATTAGTACAGTACAGTAATAAATGATGTAGGAAATAGACATAGGCAAGATTCACCTAATTTTTGCAAGGTTTAGGGAGCAAAAGTTTAAGCAGAAGCAGAATGTTTGCATAGTTTCCATAATATACAAACAATATGCAAAAAATAGTAATTACAAATAGGAAAATAGTAATTTTACCATGGATAATCTTGGAAGACAGTGCCTTAACCAAGTGCCTAAAGCCAACTTTATATCAAAATTTCAATATACATATTGACATTATGCATAACCTGACATGCATTGAGAAGGGCGTATCACTTTGTAATATTCTTTTCAACAGTTCATGAACTCAATCTAATCATAAGAAAACATCAGACAAACCAAAATGGAGGGACATTTCAAAAAATAATTGATCCATACACTCCAAAAGCATCAGGACTATGGAAAACAAGGAAGGATGGAGAACTGTCACATATTTTAAAAACTAAAGAGACATAACAACAAAATGCAACATGGCATCCGGGATTGCACCCTGGAACAGAAAAAGCACAATAGTGGAAAAACTGGCAAAATTCAAATAACTTCTTTGGTTTAGCTAATAACACTCTGTCAAGGTTAGTTCCTTAGTTTTGATCATTGTTCTACGGTTATGTAAGATGCTAACATAATGGAAATCTGGATGAAGGTACAAGGAAACTCTAAGTATTTCTGCAGTGTTTCTGTAAGTCTAAATCTATCTCAAAATAAAAGATTAAAATAAAATTCCAGAAGGCTTTTATTTTTGGTTGAAATTGGCAAGCTGATTTTAAAATTTATAAGGGAATGTGAAAACATAGAGCGCACAAAACAATTTTGCAAAAGATCAAAGTTATAGGACTCATATTACCTGATTTCAAGATCTTATAAATCTGTATAATCAGGACATGGTGGCATAAGGATAGACATATAGATTAACATAACAGAATAGAATCCAGAAATAAAGCCACACATATATTTGCAATTGATTTTTGACAAAGGGCTTAGGTAAGTCAGTGGGAAAATAATAGTCTTTTCTAAAATTGTTTCTGGAATAATTGGATATTCATATGGAAAAATAATATTTTCAAATCCTTACCTCACATCATATGCAAATGTTATTTCAAAATATATTATATATATTATATGCATAAAAATAAAAGCTGAAACGTTAAAACTTATAAAAAGAAACATAACAAAAATCTTTGTAACATCAAAGTAGGTAAAATTTTCTCAAATAGGACATTAAAAATGTACCGTAAAGGAAAAGAAAGATAAATTGGAATTTACCATAATTAAAGATGTGTGCTCTGCAAATGACACAATTATAAAGAAAATTAAAACACATGTCACAGGCTAGCAGAAAAAAATTATAAAACATATATATATGAAAAAGCACTTGTATCCAGACTAGATAGAGAACTCTTCTTCTATTATTTTTGTTACATGATAATTGTACATATTTTATGGGGTACAGTCTTATATTTCAGTTCATGTATACAATGTGTAATGATCAAATCAGGGTAATTGTGATATCCATCACCTCCAGCATGTATCCTTTCTTCACACTGGGAATTCAAAATCATCTCTTCTAGATATTTGAAAATATCCAATAAATATTGTTAACTATAGTTCTCCTACAATGCCATAGAACACTAGAACTTATTCTTCCTATCAAGCTGCAACTTTGTTACATAAAAAATTCTTTTAACATTCATTTATAAGAAAAATGATCTAATAAAAATGGGCAAAAAATTAAATATATTTTACAAAAAAGATGTATGAATTGCCAGTAAGCACTCAAAAAGACTCTCAACATTAATAGCTGACATAGAAATGAAAATGAAAATTAAATTGTGATTCTATTACACACCCATTAGAATGGCTAACATTTAAAAACTAAAATTACTTAGTGTTGATGAGAATATGAGCAACTAAAACTAAAACAATGTTAGAATGGCTAACATTTAAAAACTAAAATTACTTAGCATTGATGAGAATATGAGCAACTAGAACTAAAACTACGTTGGCAGTAGGAATGTAGAATGCTATAACTTTCATGGAAGATGTTTACAAAGTTAATAATACATTTACCATACATTCCAGCAACATCACTTCTAATTACTTAACCCTCCCCCAAAAATGAAAACCTAAGTTCAGGCAGAGATTTCCACATGAATGTTAATAAAAGCTTTATTCATATAGCCAAAACCTGGAAGCAACACAAACATCCAACAACACAATATTTATTCACAGATTTTGGTATATCCAGAAAAAAAAAATCCCTCTATCCTCCTGGGTTTAGTAACTGAGACCTGTGAATTAAACTGACAAATTAACAGAAGAAAAAGCACACAAATTTTATTAGACAGAGTCTTGCTCTCTCACCCAGGCTGGAATGCAGTGGTGCACTCACAGCTCACTGCAGCCTTGACCTCCTAGGCTCAAGTGATCCTCCTGCCTCGACCTCCAAAATAGCTGAGACTTCAAGCATGCATAACTTTGCTCAGTTACTTATTTTTATTTTTTGTAGGTATAAGGACAGGGTCTCATTATGTTGCCCAGGCTGTCTCAAATTTCTGGGCTCAAGTGATCCTCCCTCCTCGTCCTCCCAAAGTGCCGGGTTTACAGGCATGAGCCATTGTGCCTTGTCATTATAATTTTTAATATTACAAGCACAGTGGCTTCACAGAAAAGAAGTCGAAGGCTCAAAGAAGCTGTTAAACTTAGGGGCATATGTACCATTTTAACAAAGAGCAATAAATTGTCGAGAATTGACAAAATACAAGAAAGAGAATTAGGGCATCTAGGGCTGATAAATTATGGGAAAGTAATAGGATATATACACGAGGATTTAATGAAAGATAAATGTTATTTTATTTAGTTTCATTTACACAGACTCATGTTGGTGCCACTGGCTCTCTGTCTCCAGTGATAAGGTTTGTTCTCATCTTGGTACATCTAGGAGAGGGGAGAAAAGTTTATACTATCTTTACAAAGGTAAATCTGTGTCCTACTCTTAGGCAGATATCAGAGGAAGGCTGAGAACTTTCACTCCATCTGTTAATTCTCAATTGCCTTCAGCTCAAAGAAATCTTTATCTTAAAATGGTATATTTTGAGGTGATATATTCTGGACCCCTTCAACATAAAATAGTGAAGCAATTGAAAGGAATAATCTAAGTATGAATGCAACAGCATGTGCAAATTTTAAGATAACTATGTTGAGTAAAAGCAGTCAGATACAATAGAATATATACTATAATTCTATTTATATGAAATTCTTAAAAAGATGAAACCATAGTGATAGAAAGCACATCAGTAGACTACATATAATATACTAAAATGAAGAGCTTCTCTATATCAAGGAGTCTATTAGAAATATAAGTAAATGGTGTAATATCCTCTAGCTACATGATCTATAAGTGTACATTGTTACTATATATGTTCAAATACCAATATCAAAGAAATAGAGGTGCTGAATTTTCTTACTTTTAATTTTGCAAATGGAGGCATATAGACAAATAATTATGCCACAGATACTTTTGACATATATAATATTAATATTTAGATTAAGTGGTTAACAATATAGGAGTAAAATATAATATGAACAAATCAGCATTACTAGGAGAGCTTTAAGGTTTTACTTTCATTCTTCTGTCATTTAATTTTCAATCAAAATGTTACCTCAACATGGGTTTCTGTAACTAATGGGCTAAAACATATATTGAAGGTAAAATGCATGTCAACCTTGATTTTTCTCACTCCATGACATGGTCTGAATCTTAAAACCTCACAAAGTGCAGCTACATATACTTCTGTAAATGCCCCACCCATGATACCAATGGCACCATTTCCATGGTAACTTTGGTGCTTGAAAAGGGAAAAAACAAAAGGAGTCTTAAGAAAATTGACAAAGTGAACAAAATAAATTATTAGATTGAACATATGTGGCATAAACAAAATATGGGGTACAGTTATTAAAAATGAATTGCCTTTCTTAAAATGAAAACAAGCATAACTCAAGCATGGAACTTCAGCTTATGGAAAATGTGGTCATTCTAACCTCAGAGCAGTAAAATTATTTCAGTACCTCTGATATCACAAAATTAGGAGCTTATATACACATCAACAGATTTAATCATCCTTTTATTGTGGAGGCTCAAATTTCCACGCAATTTTTACATTATTAATGAATTAAAAGAACAAAAATTGATGTGCAGTATTAGATTTATACCAATAAATATCTATTTTATATTTGTATTATACTAACACAAAATATATATTTCAATATTATTGTATAAATTACATTGTCTTCAAAATAGAAACACAATGTCAATTTTATACCACGAGGTACATTTAAAAAAATATTTTTATCACAGCAAATCCTGTGTCCTATTTAATTTTGATATTTTGAAGATATGTCACTGACATTAGAACAAATCACAATGAATTAAACAATGACAACTATAGAACTAAAACACAATTCCTGTTATAGTTATATGCAATATTTTATTCTTATATGGTTATGCTTAAATCATCTAAACTAAAATCGAGCCATGCCTGCCTTTCAAAGACATTTATTCGCTCTCAGAAGAGTATCTTACATGTCATTAAATCTATTTTGTTAACTCTATTTCATTAGATCCTTACTATCTAGTTCTGGCTTTTTCAATGTCTATCTTTCTGTTTCTATCAATTCTAAAAATTGAGGTGAATGAATTACATGCTGAACACCAAACATCTTTGGAAAGAAGATTGATGTAGAATCCCTGAAGACTCACTTGGCCTACTTCATCATTTTGCCTTGGGTTGGCTCTAATAATACTAATGCCCTAAACTGAAAACTAAAATTTGATTTTCAATTGTTCAAGCCCTCTAATTCAATATAACCATGAATAATAAGATGTGATGTCTTCAGAATTATGAAGTAAAATTTGATTTCCAATTGTTGTTTTATTTACTTGATGAATGCATTGAATGCCTACTATGTGAGGGGCACTGTCCTTGGCACTAGGGACAAAAATTCAAATCTGGAACAGCACATCTCACACTGGAGAACTGACTTTTTAGTAAAAGTGGGAGAAAGAATAATGATTTACAGTATGATAAAAGTGAAAGAGGCTTTCCCAGGTTGTTATGGTGCATAAGAATCTGAATGGAAGAAATAAAGGAGATATTAGAAACCATCTAATCCAACTCTTTTCTTTTACATCTAAAGAAACTGGTTATCACAGAAAGTGTGTGCCTGTGTGTGTTTTCCCAGTGTCTTATAAAAACATAAAGAGAGACTATGCAATCAAAACCTTATTGGGGTAATCTATATGTACATATATAACCAAATGTGGTATGGTGTGATATAGGGGAAGGTGTATTTGACTGCAGATCTGAAGGAGGTCTCTATTTGCACACTGTTAATTTTTTGGTAAATAGTAGCATGGGCAAGATATTCAGCCATTTCTTCACCAATATTAGGAACTCAGTTCAATCTCTATTGCTTAATTCTCCAGATTGTTATGAAGACTGAATGTAATACCAGATACATAAGTGCTTTGTAAAATTTAAAGCATAATAAATCATTTGATAATATTTCACATAATAAACCTGGCTATATAAAGAAGGTGATTAATTTAATTGTGGGGAATTAACTGGATTAACAGAATGAAGTACATAGTTATTTGTGAATTAAAAGAGAAAATGAAAGTCATTTAATCCTTATCCATTCATTATTGGTTGTCATATTTGAGATATGCAAATACTCAGATCAACAGAGAGGAAAAAACAATTCACAAATATAAGCACTGCATATCTATGATTCCTTCCAGTCCCGAGGCAGAGCGTGGGACTTCCATTCTGATTAGAACAGTTGGTGTAGGAAAGTTTACATGCTGATAAACCAGTGGTGGTATCTGCTGTACTCAGTCCCTTGCAAGTCCCTTTCCTTGCAGGGAAAGACACCTTATCCATTGTAGTTACTGAAGAGGAAGCTATGAGTAGAGAGGTTTGATCCCACAGATTCTCTCCCCACTCAACTTCAGGTTTTGGAAAAAATGGCAAGTGCCAGAGCCAAACGCAAACAGTCCATGGGTATCCAGACAGGTGAGACACAGCCTAAAATAAAATCTCTTTGAAGAATTTTAACATTGAGATATTGGAAGATTGAGGCAGTTAACAGTGGGGGACTGAAGGTAGATGATGC
The DNA here is from genome assembly GCF_000001405.40 of Homo sapiens. Taxonomy (NCBI): domain Eukaryota; kingdom Metazoa; phylum Chordata; class Mammalia; order Primates; family Hominidae; genus Homo; species Homo sapiens. The sequence goes on from NC_000002.12 coordinate 198,943,848, forward strand.
CTGGAGAGAAATCATGACAGAGTCAGGACCACAAGAGCTAAGGGCAAGCTGAAGTTAAAAGGAAGCAAAGTCCATGGGTAAGTGAAATTCTATAAGATTATAGGTGTGTATGGCTAGGGGTATGGGAAGAACAATCAGAATTGGAGAATAGTCAGTCTCTAAAATTGACTTTGCTCATGAGGGATATCCCTATTTGTCTATGACAAATTCCTTAGCATAGGCTGAGTTCCTAAAACAGCCTGAATATCTAGGGAAATTTTAAGATTTATTAAATATAGCAGTCTAGCAGGGGTGATTAGAGGTGATAAAAACAGCACCAGAATCTAGCGGTTGTTGTTCACTGAATAAGTGAGACGATGAGCTGACATCTGAGGATTTTACGCATTTTATTACCTACATCATTACCGGGAGGAATCTGGCCTTGTGGAATAGTCAAATGGCCTATTGGAGACTCAGTGAAAGCATTTTTGGAAGACAACACCTAATAAAATTAGAATGCTTATCTTGAAAGTTGTGAGCATTGTGTTATACTGGACATTTCTCATACATTTCAGATCCATCCTCTCAGTCATGCCATTTGTTCCAGACACCACTGCAATCACAAGTTTCATACAGATTTTTACCAGATTCAAGCAGGTACAACCAAATAGCACTTCACACCTTAGACCAATACTGAACTGTTTCCTTTCTCGGGAATTTTCTGTCTTCATGATGTGGGATGTCCATTGGAATTGTCAAAGTCCAGTGCAACCCAAAAACCATGCCTGACTGTTAGTAAATGGGAGCCAAAAGGGTTTCCATACTTCTCTGAGTAGATAGTTTTCAAATTTTAGCCATAAAACTCAGAAGTTTCACAGGATCAAGCACAACAGGCTATGGCTACAGCCAACTTAATAATTCATTCTGGCATGGGTTTTTTCCTTTCTTCTCTGTTTCATACTCTTAGCCTACACTTCTGTTTGCCAATATAGCATTGCTAAATAAATTATTCACATGTAATCTTTATTGCAGGCTTTTGCTTTCAGATCTTAGGCTTATCTTGATCAGCCTAAGACAATTTGTGCAGAAAGGAAATTCTCAGAAGCTGAATTTGAAACTGAACCACTATTCCACTATTAAATGGCCAGGAGGCATTAAAGACCCCGTTGGTGATGGTTCATGGGATTCTTATAGATCACAATAATAAGACTTTTGTCAAATGGGTTGAGGTGCAGATTCAAAGTGAAACGTGGGGTTATGCAGTAGTTGTGGCACTTCTAAAGTATAGAAGAAAAGGTAATAACATGAATTGTGAATTCAAATGACTTTGTCAACTGCTTTGGAAGCCTTGAGAAAAGAGAAAGTGAGAACTAGAGATCCTTCCTTATCTTTCAAAGTTACAGGAAAGAATGTGATGAAAATCAGGTTTAGAGGGGCAATAATATCCAAAGTGCAAATGTAACTAAATATATAAGATCAACAGGTCATTTATGCCCAAGTAGTGCCCTGATAGGGAAAGAATGGGGTCTTAAGACTTGGGATGAAGATATATGGGTACACAAGTATGTTATCCTGAACCCCTAAATTTCATTGAACGTTCCATGCTGGCAAAAGTGGTCTTTTTTTTCTACTTGAAGAGAGTAGCCTTCCATTGTCTAGAGACCCTATATGAACACACTAGATAATGTGACAAAAACTTCATTAGGTAATAATTGCTCTCCTCAAGATCTGCTCCTGCCTCTCCTTATTGACACCAACACAATGACCAGGATAGGATAACAGCTCAGCATGAGCAGGAAAACACATTCCCTCTTCAGAGAGTAAACAATTTACTCACCTAATGAATTACACAACCTGTCTAAATCCCTTTGGCAAGAATCAGGGAAGATGTGTCAAAGTAGAACTTACGGGGGTTGGACTTTGGACCAGAACGTAAAATTAGATAAGAAAAAATTTATTAATATGAACTCATTCACCATGATTCAGAGTTTAATGTCCTATAAAGACACTTTAGCCAAACCGAATAAGGAGTTTTAGCCCAACTCCTTATTAGAGTGATCTCTTAGTGAGCTCACTGGGTCTATGCAACTATACTGTGGTTGTTTTACTGACTACTGACTACTATATTGTGATAGATATATCTATTAAATAGTAGAGTTTTCACACTGGTTCCCACATCTGTGGAGTAAGTTTCTTTGTGGTAAGAAGGGTTACATGGATCCCTTAAAATTGTTCTCACTTAACCAAGATAATACATTATAAGTAATACTGCATTCTGGGAGGATTTGAAGAGACTAGTGTCACTACCAACAGATGCAGGATAATACTCCTCATAATATCCTCATACAGAAAAAATGCTACAAAAATCAGAAGGGCTACAACAAAATTTAACCCAGTGGTAGCTTCAGTAGCAGCTACTGTAAAGAATATAACATTTTTACTGGAATAGATGTCATCTCTGGCAGTTGGTATTGCAGCTACTGAACCAATGAATACATTCTTCTCAATTCCATTCAATAAGGATGGTCAAAACCATTCACTTGCACATGGAAAGTATTCAATACACAATCATTATCTTGCCTCAGAGCCACATTAACTCTATTGCTCTCTGCTAAAATACAATCTATGGGAACCTCAATCAACTTGACATTCTGGAGAATGTCATGCTGCAGAAAACTCCACAGAAATTCATAAGTCTCCCACATTTGTGAATATTCCAAGGATCTAAAGATCTGGGCAATGCTGGGAATTCCATTTAAAGGTAATAATGAAAGCTGTTGTAAGTTGTACTTCAAAAAACCAAGAATAAAGCACAAGCCTTTCAAAACCTTTTTGATTTTGAAAGCAACATACTCAATATTTAGGAATATTACATTTGTCAGGTAACTCTGAAGTGACAGTTTTAAGTGGATCTACAGCAAGGGAGAACTCTATAGCAAATTTAGACTGTATATAAATTGCCCTGACACTCAGGCCCTACTATCTAGTAGAGCCAATGGTGATACAGGTAGCCAAGGTGAATAAGAACACTATGTGGAGTCTCTGGCAAGTCACAAAAGGAGAGTCATAGCATCTGCATTCTGGAGCAAAGCTTTGTTTCTGCTGCAAGGCACCATTCTGTGTTTACAAAATTAATCCTGACTTGTTACTAATCCTTAGCAGTGTCTGAGCACATGACCATGAGATACCGGATAACCCTAAAACCAAAGCTTCTGCTGATGAACTTGGTATTATCAAATCCATAGAGTCCTAAGGTAGGGCTGTCAGAGCAATAATCCATCATCTCATGGAAATACTGTATTTGAAGTCCAGAAGGAGTAAGTAAATCACATAAATACATAGCCAAAACTCCCAGGGCACCAACTACTGTCAGACTAACCATCTTTCCTTCAACTCACAATCATGGGCTCATGGGAGATTTTCCCAACACCAATTGGTGGAATTGGTGGAGAAGGAAAACAGGTTCACAGTTAGATCAGTGTGACATGTTGGTGCTAGGCATATAAAGAAAGGGGTGAGAGGAAGTACCACCAATGGGAAGAGCTGAGAGTAGAATAGTTATCCATTCAACTACATGGCAATGGAAGTGGCATACAGTTATACATAAATTCTTAGACTTAGCTGATTGGCTAGGGGCACAGAAGGAGCATAATTAGAAAATCAGAGACAACACAGTAGGAAAGAAGTATGTGAATAACATACATAATCAGTCACAAAGCACATTAATCTTTGGGTCTAAAGTTAATGCCAAGAACACAGCATTTACCACAGCGGATGTATTCAATAACTAAGTGGACAGAATGCATCAACTTAAGAACGTCAGCTAGCTTCTGTCCTTAGCCCCTTCAGTGAAGGAACATGGGCTCATAATGGAGTAACTATGGCATCAGGGTTAGAGAATATACATAAACCCAACAAGATGGGCCGCCTTTCACCCAGGCTTATCTACCTACTGCCACTGATGAAAGTCTAACCTGCCATCAGTAAAGACCAATGGTCACCCTTGCATATGGCTATATTCTTGAAAAATACCAGCTACCCACTTGATGTCAGGTGAATTACATCAGATCCTTTATACTCTGGAAGCAACAGCAATTTCATCTTACCACAATTAAACCTACCTCTCCTTCCTTGCTCACAATTCCTTTTCCAGCACCATTTTTTCATAAGATATATAACATAGTATTTGCAGAAAAATAAATCTGAAAGAATATATGATAAAATATTTGCAATGATTATTACTATGAGCTTGAACTTTCTTCTATATCACTGATGGATTTATAGTTTGTATAAGAAACAAACATTACTTTTGTAAGCAGAAAAAATAATAAAAGTTTTTATTCATTGAAAAAAAAAAGATAGCAGAATATCTGATCCATAGGCATGATATCCTGAACAATATTGGTTTTGATCAAGAGACCCATCTTATGACAACAGAAATATGTTAAAGAGCACATGACCAAGGATCCACTAGTTTTATATACTTTATTATTGATAAGTGGTTAGCCTAATAAAATGGCATATTAAAGGAGTATTATAAGCTCATCTAAGAACCTATTCAGAGGAAAACCAGTCAAGTTTGGCACATTATCTTCTAGGATATATTATATGCACTGAACTAATGATAATATTTGGTGCTATATTTTTTCCAGTTCTATCAAACCATTTATTTATTTATTTCTACATTTTTTCAACTTTTATTTGAAGTTCAGGGGTACATGTGCAGGCTTGTTACATATGTATACCCGTGTCATGAGGGTTTGTTGTACAGATTATTTCATCACCGAGGTATTAAGCCTGGTACTCATGAGTTATTTTTCCTGAACCTCTAACGCCTCCCATTCTCCACCCTCTAATAGGCCCCAGTGTGTGTTGTTCCCCTCTATGTGTCGATTTATTCTCACCATTTAGCTCCCACTCATAAGTGAGAACATGCAGTAGTTTTCTGTTCCTGTGTTAATTTGCTAAGGATAATGGCTTCCAGCTCCATCCATTTTCCTGGAAAGGACATGATCTTGTTCTTTTTTATGGCTGGCACTATATTTTCTAAATTAGAATTCATTAGTCCAGAAACAAATGAGTGAAAATGGAATTGGCACCTCTCACCATCACTTCAAGTGACCTGCAGAATTTGATCTTTCCTGCCCAGAATCTTAGCCTCCGCTGGTAATATGGTTTGGCTCTGTGTCTCCACCCAAATCTCACCTCAAATTGTAGTCCCCACGTGTCTAGGGAGGGACCAGAGAGAGGCTACTGGATCATAGGGGTGGTTTCCCCCATGCTGTTTTCATGATAATGAGTGAGTTCTCGTGAGATCTGATGCTTTAAAAGTGGCTGCTCCCAGTCATGCTTTCTCTCCTGCTGCCATGTGAAGAAGGACCTTGCTTCTCCTTCACCTTGTTGTGACTGTAAATTTCCTGAGGCCTTCCCAGCCATGTGGAACTGAGTCAACTAAACCTTTTTCTGTATAAATTACCCAGTCTCAGGTAGTTCTTCACAGCAGTGTGAAAATGAACTAAAACAGCTGGATTACAGGTCCTGGTTCCCAGAAGGCACTGCTTCCACATTGAGATGCTGAAAGAGTGAAAGAGTTCCATAGTATTTGAAGTAATAACCCCCATGTAATCATTTGGGGCTTCTTATTACAATGGATGACAAGTAAATACAGGTGTTTACAGGGATTACCAACCTTGAGTACTATGAATAGTGAGGATGTGATCCAGAAATAAAATGGCTTGAATCCAGAGGCTTGACAAGAATGTCTTTTGTTGTTTCCGTGACCCATGGTAATAATGAACGTAGTTGTTGAAACCACAGCACAACGACTATAGCACAAGTCTAAGTGCTTGGACTTGTCAACGATGAAGATCTAGATCACTCTATCAGACAAGTCACTTGACTAACCAATGTTCTAGCCAAAGGTGAGAAAAAAATCTAGAATGTCTGAGGAAGGAGTTAGATGATAGGTATTGTTTATGGCTTCAGAACTAGCTTCAATAGCAGCAACTGTAACTTGCCCCACTAACTCTCTTGTATTAAATCTTTGAGGAGATTTAATCTGGCCCCAACTTTGAAGAGGAATCTGTGACAGACTGGATTTCTAGAGAACACAAGTGTATCCATGTGATGCAAGGGGTGCATTGTTCTCGGCACCATCTCTTACAACAACTCCAGCTACAGCAAACCGTTCTGCACAGCTTTTGACTAGTTTTTCACAGGTGCAATCTGGTCCACTTTACCTCAGCCCTATGCTGCATACATATCACTCCCTGTCTCAGAGTTCACTGACATGGTGGCATGAAAAACTCACAGAGACCAGCTTGGAGTCACATGTATAAAACCTAGAAATGTAGTAAAATTAATGCCAATGAAGTCACCCCTGACTGAAAGGGGATGGAAGTTGAAGAATAAGTGCTTCTTTTCTTCCTTTGAAATGCATTTCTTAGAAGTTTTTATATGATCCCTCAAAAACAAGCACAAAGTTATATGTATCAGTAGCCAAAACATGATTTTTTTGTATGTGCTTTCCCTTTTTCTCTAATTTACTCCTCAATCTGTATTTCTAGTCTCTGGGATCTCTTTCTAAATAAACAAATTGCCTGAAATTCTTTGTCTCTGGCCTTGCTTTTAGGGAAATTTAGGCTAACGCTGGGAGAACATTGAGTTGATTACAATTAAAACCCTGTAATGGAGGGTTTTTTTAAAAAAAAAAACCACTCTTTGTAATATGTAATAGATAAGACTTGAAATGTCCAACCAGTCATCCAGGATCCCCGGGCTTCAAATAAATGGTAAGAAAACACATTTTGGCAATAAAGAACAAGTATCTGAGAATCCCCAGAAATGTCATTACTTGAAAGAAAGTAATATACTCTAATCAGCTGGTAAAGAGTTGAGGGTAAAGCAAAAGTACAGAAGACAACAAAAAATGAGAGAGAGAAAGATAACAGACTATAGCAGCATTGGTGATCAGAGCCACCAGAGCAGACAAACCTAGAGGGAGACAGATAATTTTGATGGGGAAAATGAGAGTCAAGGGGAAAAAAGAACCAAGGACAGCTTAGTAGCAACAAGTTTACACACAGCAGGCACTATTTAAATGTTTTACATATGCTAACTAATATAATACTTGTAAAAACTCTATAAGTGCTCCTCCTTTGACAGATAATAAAACTGAAGTGCATAGAGTTGAAGTGACTTGTCTAAGATGACTCAATTAGGAGCTAACAGACTTTGGATTTTAGTGCTAGAAATCTGACTCTAGAGTCCACTATGCTACACAGATCCCTTAACTGGCCTCCAACATCCTGCTTTCTATTGTGATAAAATAGACATAACATAAAATGAACCATTTTGCCATTTTAAGTATATAGTTCAGCATGATTAAGTACATTCATAATTGTTGTGCTACCATCATAACCCTTCAGCCAAAGAACTCTTTCCATCTTGCAAAACTGAAATTCTTTACCCATTTAACAATAACCCTATAAATTCCCCCTAATCTCCAGTCTCTGATAACCACTATCTACTTTTGTCTCTGGATTCTACTATTTTGGGTACTTCACATAAGTGGGATCGTGCAGTATGTGTCCTTTTGTAACTGGCTTATTTCACTTAACATAATATCCTCAAGATTCATCCATGTTGTAGCAGGTGTCAGAACTTCCTCCCTTCCAAAGACTAAATAATATTCTCTTGTGTGTATATAGCACATTTTGTGTGTATATATGCATCAGCCTTTTCGCTCTGGGAAACAATGATTTTATGAACATGAGTGTACAAATATTTCTTTGAGTTCCTGCTTTCAATATTTTCAAGTGTATACTCAGGAATGAAATTGCTGAATTACATCTTCCAAATGGTTTCCCACAGCAGCTACACCATTTCCACCAACTGTGCCCAAGTGTTCCAATTTCTCTACGTCCTCACAACACTTACTTATTTGTGTCTGTGTGTGTGTGCTTGTTTTTGATAGTAGCCATTCTAATAAGTGTGTGGTGGTATCCCATTGTGGTTCGGTTTTCATTTCACTAATAATTAATGATGTTGAGCATCTTTTCATATATTTGTTGGTCATTTGTATATCATCTTTGGAGAAATACCTATTCAATTTCTTTGCATGTTTTTTGATCAGGTTTTTTATTATTGATGAGTTGTAGAAGTTATTTAATATTCTGTAGATTAACTCCCAACAGACAAATGAGTTGCAAATATTTTTTCTCATTTCATAGGTTGGCTTTTCACTCCATTGATTGTGTCATTTGAAGTACAGAAGTTTTACATTTTGTAGTTTAATTTATCTATTTTTTTTCTTTCCTTGCTAAGAAATCATTGCCAAATTCAGTGTCATAAATCTCTTCTCTTATGGTTTCTCCTAGGAGTGTTATAGTTTTAGGTCTTACATTTAGGTCTTTAATCCATTTTAAGTTAATATTTGTGTATAATGTAAAGTATAACTTAATTTTCTGCATGTGGATACCGAGGTTTCCCAGCATTATGTTTTGAAAAGGCTGTCCTTCTCTCACTGAATGGTCTTGGCACCCTTCTCAAAACTTATTTGACCTTTTATGAGAGTGTTTGCTTCTGGGCTGTCTATTCTATTCTACTGGTCTAACTACCTGTCTTCATGCCAGTACCACATTGTTTTTACTACTGTAGCTTTCTAAGTTAGTTTTAAAATCAGGAAGTATGAGACCTCCAAATTTGTTTCTCTTTTTAAATAATGTTTCATAACTTTTAATACACTAATTCTTTGTGAAACTCTAAGAGTGATAGAGAATGAAGAAGTTTTCATTTGGTTTGGTTTGGTTTCTAAAAATTTTATAAGACCAGTATCCTAGGGAGCATCATTTAGGAAACACTGCTCTTTTATATATTCAGATGTTCTAGGAATTCTGACTGATCTCCATTTACATACTATTAGTTGAAATTAATTGTTTTGTAATAAATCATTTTATTTACAATAATTTATAAGTTTTATCATAAAATTATAATATACTATATATTAATAATATAATATAATAAAACAAAAATATTCTGATATCATGACATAAAAGCAGTCTTAAAATAAATAGCATTAGACTTCCCTAAGAGGGGAAAGAAAAAACACTGTGGATTAAATAAGAACAGAGTTTATTTCTCTCTTATGTCAAAATCTAAGGATAGGTGTCCCAGAAAGGGCTGAAGCACATGGTGTATAACTTCCTTTCTCAAGACCACATGATAGTCTAACTTAAATTAGTGGTGATAAGATGCAAATCAGGATATTTGTAGTGATGTATAACAAGAAGTAACACTGTTTGACAATTTACTTAACAGCAAAGCCATAAAGATGATTCTGTTATTCTGAAGCAACTCTTAAAAGTCAGAATACTGGAAACAAATTTGTTTAGAGGGCTAAAAACTCACCTTCACCTTGGTTGTATTAACTGCCAAGATCTTTCGACTTGAAATCTTATGGTGTGACAAGTAAGACTAAAAAAGTCACTGCGTTTCAGGAAATTAAATTTAACAACCTGTGACTTTGCATTATACCTGATATTTTGTGCCCTAAATAAATTCTGCTGTCTCTAAAAATAAATCTATAGATTTGTCTAGCTGTTTACACACAAATACTTGCATGACACCTCCTGTTCTATAAAAGAGCAAAGTCCATCATTATACAAGGAACTGCTGTGTGTCATTCTATATAAATCCCAAAAAGAGGAAACACCCATTGGAGTTATAAACTAGTTTCCAACTTTATAATTACTGCTATCTTTATTGGTGGGGCAAATTGAATGCTTCACACTATAATATATTACATAATATTGCATATGAGCTAACCTCTCAGGTTTATGCTGTGCATTAGCCTATAGTTGATCATTAGCTGCTCTGTGTTTACACACACTGCATTCCTGCCATGTTCTACCATTTTAACATTTGGTAAGAAAGATGCTTTAAATTCAAGAATGTGAACTCTGATGTCAACTGACTCTTCTTACTGGTCTGCTTGTTGCTCTGTGCCCTATTCCACCCATTGTGCCCCTAACTCCATCTTCCTTTACCCTCTCCATCTGTATAGTCACCTCCATTTCACATGATGAGCAATCCAAGTCACTTCTGCTTTGACAGTAAAACCACTCACTTGATTCTACATCCTCCTCTATTTTCTCACTTTTCTTTACTTATCATGAACATTTCTCACCATATGAATCTATTTTCCCTTTCTACATACCCCCTTCAATCAGACTTCGAACTGGAATATTTTCCTGAGGAATCACTGGTCTCTATTTTTCTTCTACTTGAAACTACTTCATAATGTGGCTTCTATAATGTCATACTCTGCTGGTTTCTTTATCATTTTTTCTTAGACCTCTTCATAAAATTTTTGTCAGAATTTTCCAGTGATCTATCCTTGATCATTTTTGCTTCTTGGTTTATTTTATTTTATTTTATTTATTTTATTTTTGAGATGGAATCTGGCTCTGTCACCCAGGCTGGAGTGCAGTGGTGGAATCTCAGCTCACTGCAACCTCCACCTCCGGGGTTTAAGTGATTCTCCTGCCTCAGCCTCTCTAGTAGCATAGCTGGGATTACAGGCACGTGCCACCATGCCCAGCTAATTTTTTTTATTTTTAGTAGAGATGGGATCTCACTGTGTTGGCCAGGCTGGTCTTGAACTCCTGACCTCAAGTGATCCACCCACCTCAGCCTCCCAAAGTGCTGGGATTACAGGCGTGAGCCACCACACCCGGCCTGCTTCTTGGTTTAAATGCCAGCCCTGACTGATGTCATCTACTCTCATGCTTTTACCACCAATACATTTATAATTATAAAGTCTATGCCTTCAGCACCTTATACAATTAATGACCTCCTGAGTTCCCTACAATACTATACACTCAAAATGTTCAAAATAAATACGAGGCTGGGTGCGGTGGTTCATGACTGTAATCCCAGTACTTTAGGAACCCAGGGAGGAAGTTTTACTTGAGGCCAGGAGCAATGCCTAGTCTCTACAAAAAAAAAAAAAAAAAAAAAAAATAGCTGGGCATGGTGGTGCACACCTGTATTCCTAGATACTCAAAAGGCTGAGATGGGAGGATCACTTGAGTTCAGGAATTCCAAGGCTGAAGTGAGTTATGATCATGTCACTGCACTCCAGGTTGGGCAACAGAGTAAGATTCTATCTCTTAATAAATAAATACCTTACTGTGATGATTAATTTTATGTGTAAACTTGACTAGGCTACAGGATGCCCAGATACCTGGTTAAACATTATTTCTAGGTATGTCTTTGAGGGTGTTTCTGAGATTAATAAACGGCTGGGCACAGTGGCTCACACCGGTAATCCCAGCACTTTGGGAGGCCAAAGTGGGCAGATCACTTCAGACCAGGAGTTCAAGACCAGTCTGGCCAATATGGTGAAACCCCATCTCTACTATAAATACAAAAACTAGCCAGGTATGGTGGTGGGCGCCTGTAATCCCAGCTACTTGGGAGGCTGAGGCAGAAGAATGGCTTGAACCTGGGAGGCAGAGGTTGCAGCAAGCTGAGATCATGCCTCTGCACTCCTGCCTGGGCAACAGAGCAAGACTCCGTCTCAAAAAAAAAAAAAAAAAAAAAAAAAATTAAGAGATTAGCATATGAATTGGTGGACTGAGTGAAGATTTCCTTCAGCAATGCAGGTGGGTATCACCTAATCCACTGAGGCCCTGAATAGAACAAAGAGGTGGAGGAATTTGAATTGGTTCTCTCTGCCAGACTGTTGAGCTAAGATATTGGTCATCTCCTGCCGTTGGACTCTTACAAGGGTAGTGCTCCGAGTTCTAAGGCCTTTGAACTTGCACTGGAATTTACACCCAGTTTTCCTGGGTCTCCAGCTTGCAGACAGATCATGAGACTTCTCAGCCTCCATAAATGTGTGAGCCAATTCCTTATAACAAATCTCATATATATATATGAGATATAATGCAAAGTCACAGGTTGTTAAATTTAATTTCTTGAAATGTAGTGACTTTTTTAGTCTTACTTGTCTCACCATAAGATTTCAAACTGAAAGATCTTGGCAGTTAATATAGCCATGAGATTTGTTATAAGGAATTGTTAAGATTTTTTATGAGTAATATAAAATATAAATCCTATTGATTCTGTTTCTCTGGAGAAGCCTAACTAATATATTTACCTTTCCCCAAAATGTTCTTCCTCATGTTTTCCTAGTAAGACTCAGAGATCGCTTTGCCATCTCAAGTACCAGAGTCAAAACCCAGGAGCCAGTATTCATTTCCCTCATCCACCATATTTAATTAATTAACAACTCTGATTAATTAATTCTCTCAAATTCATCCCAACATACATCTTTGAGTCTAAGTCCTTGTATTAACTTGTCAGAATCCCTACAATAGACTCCCAACAGATCTCCCAGCTTCCAATCTTACCTCAAATCTGTGTCCCATGCTTTAACCAAAAACCTCTATCTAAAATGAAAACCTGGCTATGTATTCCTTCTGATTAAAACCTGTGGATGATTTCCAGGATAAATTTTCAGCACAGTGGCATGGGCTGCAAGGGCTTCCAAGGTCTGGCTCCTGCTTTTCTTCCAGACCTCCCACCTGCTGCCAATCCCATAATGTAGCATTTCGTGCTCCTGCAGCACTGAATTGCTTATAAATCTCTGGACATTCCACTTCAAGCCTTTGCCAATGTTCTCCCCTTTTTACTTTTTGCTTCCCATCCTCCTGATAAATCCTTTCATCTATCAACCTTTCCAAGCAACAACTTCTCTCTGAAGCCCTCCTAAGGCTCCTGGAAGAGTTAATAACTTCTTAATCTACAGTGTTTCTATTATGTATACTTTTACCATTGCATTATTGCTCTCCTTTATAATTATTTATCTGCAAGTTTGATCTCCTTTCAATGAACTGTAAGTTTCTCAATAGCAGGAACCATGTCCTATTTATTCTTTTATCTCCAGCATCTAGAAAAATTATTCCTACTGCCTTGGCATTTAGGAACTTTTTGTAGAACCAAAATGAAGTAAATAGATGGTCCTCAGAGTACACATCATTTTATTTTCTTTATAAAAATAATAGATTTTACAGTATAGTATAAGCCTTCTAGTTCAAGAAGACAGAATAAACTCACATGTTTATTTCTCCTCCTTTTCAAAACCCAATAAATATCACAAAGCAAAAGTGAGGATGAATTAAGAACTAAACAAAGAATAGAAAGAGGAATCCTAAGAAAACTAGATACTTTGACTAATTTATGGACTATTAAATGTATAAGAGATTTATTGGAGAATAAATAAGAAAAGGATCTGCATACATAACACAAGTAAGACACTATTTTTCTCTACCAAAGGTAGAGCCATATGGAGTTAACATAGGGCAGTTTAGGAAATAAGGGCCAAATCCAGGAGATTATTTGTAGAATTCCTACAAAACAGTTTATTAACTATGCCCAATACATCAAGACAAAAATCCACCACAAAACTTATCTCATGAAATGGGAATGTGTGCCGGGAAAGAAATAGGGTGTGCCTTAGAGCTGGCAGAATCTCATAAGGAAAACCTCCTTATTTGGGCTTTGGCTGGTTGAGATGCATTCAACTTAGCTGCCTGCCCAATTCCTGCCAACTCCTTGCCCACTCACATTAAAGAAGTTTGCCTGTCAACACACTCTGCAACAATCAAAAGCTCACCATCAGTCTTTCCATTCAAGGGAGAGAACTGTTAGGAAAAGGAACTTTATAAGGATTTTATAGGATTTTTTTTGGCTTTACAATGGTGTGAAAGCAATACACATTCAGTGCACTCCTTGACTTATGATGAGGTAACAGCCTATAAACCCACCGCAAATTGAAAATCCATATAGAATCCCACCATAAGTCAGGGAGCATCTGCACTGACCTGAGGAACTTCATCAGAATTCAGACAAAAATGAAACTAGAACAAAAAATACAGAAAATATCCATGATGCGCCCATATATTAAATAAATTGTTTCTCTACATATAGCTTCATACTGAGAAAATAAGGAAGACAAAGGGGAAACCACAATCAGTGAAATAATTGAAGAGAATTTTTGAGATCAAAATGCTTGCTGACTGTTCAGAAAAATGGCTTATAATGAGATACACCCTAAGGAATTTCTGAACTTGAATAGTGTTTAAAAAAAAGTTAAAGCATATACTTAGTGGGGTGGGGTGGGGGGAAGATAATTTATGTACTAGGAAAGGAAATTTTTTATATGCAAAACAAATTTATAGATTTCTCAGTGACAAGTTTAATCCTATAGTCAGTCAAGGTAACATTTATATGTGGAGGTAAAATAAAAATATTATCAAATAAGTTAGGATTCAGAAGTATGCCACCACATTATCTTTCTGAGAAGAAAACTTCTGAGGCAATATTCTAGCCATATGAAAAATGAATCATAATGAGACCTTGGAAATAATAAGAAACAATGATAAGCAATGAAATTAGTAAAATATTTGGTTATATTTAAATGAATGTTGTTAAAGTGATTTTGAAGACTAAAACACATTTTAATTAAAAATTCTTGAAATATATGGCACATTAAGTTGAAAATATTAAAAATTTATGTAGAAATAAAATTTCAGATGACTTCCGTAACATCTGTGTGGTGAGAGAGGGTGGTAGTTAAAGTTAAAATTCTCATTTCGTTTGAGAAAAATTATAGATAGTTTCATTCTTAATATTTATAGAGGAAAAGTTTTAAATTGTAAAACATTCAAAGTAAATCTTAAGAATACAATCAGGATCTGTAACTCTGAAGACATTAGAAGAAATAAAAATTTTCAAGAATAGCCAATGCAGCAAAATACAGGAAAACAAAAATAAGAAAATACAAGCAAAAAATGAAAATAATTCGATAAAAAATAAAGCCAAATAATAGTAATGTACACTCCAAATATGAGATAATTTCCCTGTTAACAGAGAGAGTAGTAAGCAACCATGGTAATGAATTTTATAGAGCTATAGTTAATAATATGGAAAGGTTAGCTGGACATATTTTTAAGTAGAAAAACATGCAAGTTACAAATAACATATAGAACATAATCCCACTTGATTAAAATTGTCTGTGTGTGTACACACATAGAGAGAGTAATTTGTCAGGAAGAATATTTATTATTAATTTAATTTCTTGGACCAAAATTTTTGAACATTTTGCTTTCTGTTTTACTTTTATTGTTGACTTACTGTTTAACAATGAGTATTATTTTATAATAAAATAAAACTATTTTCATACTTTTAAAGCAAATATATTTTTAAAGTCAATCAAAGAAAAAACTTCAGTAATGTACTAGTCATATGATAATATATTAAAACAACCAGCATTGTTTAAAATAAAGGAATAGGCCAAACTGTTCCAGGAGAATTTAGTCAAAAAGAAAATAGTCAATATGAATACCAAGTAAGTAGAATTTAATGCATAAGGCATTAAGAATGACAATGACGTTAATAATAAACAAAAGAAAATGGGAGAAGGGAATTAATATTAAAACAAACTTTATTTTATTAGAAGACAGAAAAGAAAGGGGTTTTAAATAGGCAAAGTGATAAATGAAACCCAAACATTAGGAAATTCTCTCTAAAGTGTGAGAAAGAAACGGAACACAAATGCTACTCACTAAACCCTAAGAGAGCAGGACCCCTGCCTACTTTGGTGACAGTTGTGTCATTGTGCCTAGAACAGTGCCTGGAACACAGTGAGGACCCATTACTAGCCTAGGAATGAGAATAATTTGGAAGTGATCTCAGAAGTAATACAAAGCATACAAAGCAAGCCAATAACCTTGAAACACTGAATGAAATATATATAAAAAATTATCAAAATTCACTTTGTAAAAGAAAAAAATAAGAAAACATGAATAAAAATGATTTTTAAGTTATTAAACGAATACCTCTCATAAAATATGTCAGGCCTTGTTAATTTTATGGTCAAGTTCCATTAAAACATAAAAAAAAGAGTCTGTTTAGCTATTCCAGAACTTAGAAGAAGAAATAGAAAATTTCCCAATTCATTTTATGTCTAATGTAATTCTTCCCAAAACACTACACACTACTACAGAACAGAAAACTATATTCATGAATATGAATGCATAAATTCTAAATACAATATTAGTAAATTGATTCAAGCAGGGTATTAAAAGAATGTATCATGACTGAGTAGATTTATTCCAGAATGCAAGGAAAATTTAACATTAGACATTCTATTAATGTTATGTATTATATTAATAGATTAAAGAAGAACAATATATTATATTGACAGATGCCAAAAAAGTTTTTTTGTAAAATTCAACCTGAAATCCTATAAAAAGTAGAAGAACAGAAGTATACTGCTTTAAGTATATGAAAAACGAATTAGAAATCAATAATAAAATTCACACAGAATCATCAAAAACTAGAGGCACCTCATTAGAAAGAGGAAGAAATAAAAATGATGTGTTCAACAGTGTTCCCCAGTTAAGACAGTAAAGAAAAATGAAATGAAGTTTACAGTACTGGAAATAATGTCAGTTAAAACTTTTTTGTGTATCAGTACAGAAAAACAAACTTAAATGGGCTTAAATAAGAAAGAATGTATTGTCTTAGATAACAGTGATGATGGGTAGTTGATATGGTTTGGCTCTGTGTCCCCACCCGAATCTCACCACAAATTGTAATCCCCATGTGTGGAGGGAGGGACCTGGTGGGAGGTGATTGGATCATGGGGGCAATTTCCCTCATGCTGTTTTCATGATATTGAGGGAGTTCTCACGAAATCTGATGGGTTTAAAAATGGCAATTTCCCCTGCACACTCTCTCTCTCCTGCCACCCTGTGAAGGATGTCCTTGCTTCTCCTTTGCCTTCTGCTATGATTGTAAGTTCCTTGAGGCCTTCCCAGCCATGCAGAACTGTGAGTCAATTATACCTTTTTTCTTCATAAATTACCCAGTCCCAGTTAGCTCTTTATAGCAGTGTGAAAATGGACTAACACAGTAGTGAAGTAAGGCAAATCTTACCATCAGAATTGAGGAATGCTGTGTTATTGGCCTGTGTCAGATGCAGGAAATTCTTGTGGGGGATAGTACCACTTCCTGCTTCAGCCAGAGGAAGGAGAGAGAAATAGCATGTGGGGACATTAGGTTGAAAGGACTGTGGGCTCCATTCTATGCTCTCACCTATTTGCTAATTTCATCTTCAACTGCTAACACCCAACTAACTCTGCTTTCTGTTGGCCGCTCTGCTCAGCTTACCACTCCTTGAGGTGGGCGAGAGCCCCCAATTCCATGCTACTTTGCCATGGGACATTCATAACCAACCCCATGATAGCCCAGTCTTTAAGACAGAAGGCCTGAGTTCAAATTATAAATCTGCTATTTAGTAGCGTTGTGACCTTAGGCAAATTGCTTAATAGAACCCAAGCTTCAATATCTGGGGGTGTAAGATTAATTACACATAACTCTTACGGGCTGTTATAAAACATCATAAACTATCCTTGTGCTTGGCATTTAATAAAAACATTCAGGACAGAAAAAGAAAAGTATTCACCAGAATTCTGGGGCCTAGAATGTTAATTCTTCACAGGAGAAACTATTGGCATGAATAATAAATATGCCCAGGTAACAGGTGCAGCAATCGGGGATATCCTATGTAGGAGCTTAGGGTACAAACAGTACAGAAGCACAGAAAAAAGAAAGTGAATAGTGAAAGGACCACTTCAATATGAGAGGCTTGTGGAAGCAGTAATCACTTGCAAATTCTCCATCAAGAGAGACATATAATGTTTCCTGTGGGTTGTGATATGCTAAATCCCTGAATCCTCAGTTCAGGAAAATCTGCAGTAAAGATAGATGTTCCTCATCAAGGCTTCTGGAGTTACAATGCAATTTCTTTAAAATTAGATGCAATACACCAGTTGAACCACATGGGACCTTGGGGTTTTTTTGGGAAGAGGTGGAGGTTAAAGTAAGTTCTCATAGTTTAAAACTATTATAATTTTTTTACTAATTCTCATGAATAGAACACACAGATAGGTATGTACATATTCATGAAAAGTACATACATATGGTATAGATATATGAGCTTATTGATAATTATAGCTTCACCAAACCCTATTAGGAAACACCTTCTTCTGTTTGGATCTTGTCCTTTTTCATTCTGTCAGCTTTTCCTGACAGCCCTCCCCAAGCCTCAGCCTGTTCTAACTCTGTTTACATCTGAAGTTAACCTCCCTTGTAAGCACTGTTGCGTAGAGCTATGTTGTCACAATGTCTAGAACTTGGATAGAATGACTCTTTAGGGTAATCTGACCTTCCAGCAGCAAACCTCTAATAGGAATAAGAGAAGATAGCAGAAATACGTCCACATTAAGGTTGTAAAATGCTAATGGTATAGGAAATTATCAAAAGAGTAGGAGATAAAGTATTCTTTGGTGGCCAGGAAATAGGGGGCAAGGAATACAGGGGAGATGATGGGAGAGGCAAAGTGTCATCTACATATTAAAGAAAATAAGCAAGAAGTGAATGAGCCTATAATTCTACCCTGGGGGTTCTGGTGACAAACCACTCAGATTCTGACTTCATGGTACATGTCACCGCCAGCACCCCTCAGTGGAATTATAGCCTTGCAGTACAGAGTTGCTCATCTGTTATTATGCTCAAAGGAGTTTAGAAAATATCCCCAGTGTTGTTGAAATGAGAAGTGGAGGCAGCCAGGCATAGCTTGCAATCAAGCTCTTCCTGAAAATGTTCCATGAGAGCTTTGATGGGCTGAAGTGGCTGCCACATGGCCTTGTTGGCAGGCTGTTTTCAAGAAAGTTCATCTTCCATCAGATTTCTTCTACTCTTCACTGGGCCCCACAATTGTGAGAGCCCCTAATTCCATGCTACTATGCCACGGGACATTCATTACCAATCCCATTGTAGTGACAGCAATCACGGAAGCAAACAAAACCATTAGGCTTACATCCAAAGTTCTTAGGAAATGCCCGTTAGAAAAGTGCCACATGCTTTGAGAACTATGTTTTTTTTTGAACAGAGGAAAGGTGGATAATGGAAGGATTGAGGGGAAAGCAAGGAGATTAAGGTTAAAACACATATGGGCCAAGTTTATGTGTCTTTTAGGAAGATGTTCTAAGGGCCCTTGGCATGGAAATTTCCATGCTCCTGGATGCTCTCTTCTCTGGAATTACCTAATAATGAGCACAGGTAGACTACAATCTTAGGTCTCTTTTTATTTTATGTCAGTGAGCACTTATTTATACTAGTAAATGATGGTAACTCTCTAGACATTATTCAACAGAATGTGTAACCAGATAACTTTTGACTACCTACAAGTAAAGAGGTGTAAGACCATAGACAACTCTTTTTCAATTAAAACCTGAATTGGTGCATTATTTATCTTTATTTCTCTACCCCTCCCAAACTCTTAGCATAGTATTCTAAATATATTAGTCATTCCAGAAGTGAAAGAACATTTGAGTGAGTTATTTTTATGTATGAATGGGTAGGTGGATGGATAAATAAATGTATGTATGTATGGATGTATAGATGGATGGATGGATGGATGTGCCAAGCTTATAATCAAAATCATCAACAGGATAGGACATTGGTGGCCCAGCTCATAATCAAGGTTTTGATGCCCGTCCGTCCCCATATCCTTACCTGTGGCAGGTATTTCTTACAGCCCATGACACTCCACTGAGTGGCTTGAAATCCTTAACGTAAAGCTCTCCAATCATAGAAGAGTATTTGAGATCAATTCTAGAACTGTTAACATTCATAACCAACATTTTGTCCCCTATACAAGTCATGTCATTGTATAGGGGACAAAATGGTAGTAGTCCAATTTAGAAATTAGTTAGGTAGTGAGATCGTTCAGCTTTCATCATGAGGACCGTTTCCTTCCTACCCAGAGGAGACTGTATGTTTTATTGTCTGTGGGTACCTGAGAAATGATTCAAGCAGAGTGCCCATAATACAAACTATCCTAATGTTCTACCCCGCCCCCACAAAAAAACCCACTATACCTTCCATGAAGCCTCTCTATTCAGTACCAAAATAATTTTCCTTTTTAATCTATTACTTATGCCAGTTATATGTAAAACAGTGATGCATATCAAAGAACAAAAGAGTAATAGAGACTTAGATTAAGCAAAAAGGAGACAATTTGCTACCATTTACAAAACCAAAAAACCAAACAATTCCAGGAAACTTAAAGAGCTTTCCTTAAAGTTTCTTTTGTGTATTATGGAACCATCGCAGAATAATTGTAAACATTGCAAAAGTTTACAATTAGGATTTTAAACTATATTTTAAAAGATAGCTTTCTGTGACACCAGTTTTCAACCATTAAATTATTAGTAAAGAGCTCTTTACTTTTCTATTCATTGGTAAAATGAAAAAGACTCGTGGAAACTTGGGTCCTTGGGTCTCTCTTCTGCCTCTGAGAGTCAAGACCTTTACCTCTAGAGCCAGACACAAAAGTTTGAAACCCAGGTCAACACCCTTCATTTATGATTCTTGTTGGCCTGATTTCCATTTTATATATTCTGTTGCATTTTGAACAGAAAGTTTTTTGCATTGTATTCCATGATTTCATTTTATTGGGCTATAACAATATTTTTGACTTTTGTTTAGTGATTACCTTACTCTTATGATAAAGACTTTTCAGGTGATTCATATTTTCTGAGTGATCATTTCACCTACAAATAGTAAATTTGTCTCTTTCTTTCCAATAATTATACCACGTTTTTCCTCTTGTCTTAATTTTATTGCCTAAGACATCAAATACTGTGTTGAAAAGTAGTGGTTCCTTTGCAGTTGTTGACCTTCGGAAAATAATATAACTCATTTGAGTCTCAGTTTCCTTATCTATAAAATTGGGATAATACTCTTATTTACCTAATAGAGTTGTTATAAATCATGTAGCCCTTAGAAGAATACAAGGGCTTACTTATACAGCACTGTCATTATTTTATCCACGTCTGAGTGTATATCAGCAATTTCTAAGTTGTCATTTAGTGTTCACAATCACCATCTTAGTAGATATATAATATACAATCGTGTTGGTGAGTTTCCATTCTTATTTATTGCCTCCCTATTTCTGAAGAGTATTTGAAGTAATCAGATAATGCAATATACCTGGCATTTAAAATATGAGTTGTGGGATGCTAACAATTTTGCCTAACAGTTCTTTCAACTGGCTTTCATAAAAATGGCTTGAGAATCTATTTTAATAGGTCCTAGGTTTTGAATTAATGTGGTCACTTTGGGAAAAAGTATTATAATTATTTTCTGTTTTCTATGATGGTGACAAATCCTGGCATTAACATATTCAAAAGCAATTCTGATAAACAATAAAGGAAATTAATATATAATATGAATTTTGGACATAGAAGGGACTTTTTATGACATACGTATAGCCTAATCTTCTTATTTTACCAATGGAAAAATTGAAACAAAAACAGTTTCTTGAAGTTTTGTGATATTTGTGATGAAACTATGAAACATTTGATGACACTATTGCTTTTTGTTTCAGTATGGCACATTATTCATTTATTAGTCAATAAATATTTAGTAAGCATTCACTATGTGAATGGGCTTTGTGTACAGAAGTGAACAAAACGATACAGTGAAAAACAATATTCAAATGTCAGAAACTAATACACAGCGCCATCTATAACCTAGACAATGTGGAGGAGATTTTGGCCCAACATCTACACATGAGCTGGTTAAGCAGAAATAAAAGTGAGGTGTTGACCTCATGTACACAGTCAATAGTAATTTTGCCTAAATATGTGTACCCTGTCTATACCATAACATTGCCAAGACTATAGTCTAACCTAACATCTCTTCTGGACAACTGCAAAAGCCACCTGCGTGCTCTTCCTCCCTCCACACAGCAGTCAGAACACTCTTTACCACTACCCTAATTGGACATATTATATTACTACTCTAGTTAAGACTGTCCAGTGGCTCCACCTATGGTATCAGGAATTTATGGTTGTGTAATAATGACCCACAACCTTAGTATCTGAAATAATCACCATGTATTCCTTCTCATGCTTGTACAGATCAGTTGGACAACAATGCTGATCCGAGCCAGGCTTAGCTTGTCTTTGCTTGATTCTTTCATGTGCCTCCAGCTGGCTGACAGTTCAGCAGGGGCTTCTGATCTAGGGTGGATCTACTTACTTGTCAGATAGTTGGCTGGCTTTTAGCTGGGGTGATGGTGTCACTGGGCCACAAGTCTGTCGCCATCAAGCAGGCCAGCCCACACTTGTTCTTGGGCAGTGCCTGGGGTTTCAAGAGAGTTAGCAGAAGCATACAAGGCCCTTGAGAAACTGGTTTGGAACTAACATGCCATCATTTTCACCACATTCTATTAGCCAAGCAAGTCCAAAGCCAACCCAGAATCAAAGCATGGCAAAATATTTTCTGCCTCTTGAGAGGAGAAGGTACAAATTCACATCATGAAGGGCATAAATGCAGAAAGGTTGGTAAATTGGAGACATTTGGCCTTCAATCCACCTCACATACACTTACAATAAGTTTTAAATCCTTATTTTAAATGAGGAGGCCTTACAGGCCAGTAGGCTTCTCTTTACCTCCCTCTGTACTCTTTTTCTTGTTCCTGTGACCCAGCCACACCTGCCTTCTTAGTCACCTATTACACATGCTGAGTTTATTCTCATCTCAGAGTCCTTGATCCTGCTCTCTTCTGCTATATTCTATGCACATGATTGTCACATGGCTCTCTTCAAACATTTTGAGTATCAACTCAAAACCATTATCTTCAAAGAGGCCTCCCATGACCAATTAACCTATCATCTTCAGTCAGTCTCTATCACATTACCTTATTTTATCCTCATCATAGCCCTAATCTGTACTAAAATTATCTCACTTATTTGTTTGGCTGTTTATTGTTCATCACCTTCAATTAAAAGGTGGGAAGTATATTCATCTATCTATCATCCCCTCATCGTTCTACTGGAACAGTACCTGGGACATAGAAGTTACTCTGTAAATATCTGAGCGCCAGTTAGCTGTAAAGTAAAAACCAGGAGTGTGTAGTGAAGATGTGGATTGTCTTCATTACCACCTAACTGCTGAACCTTGAGCATGCCATTCCACTTCTCTGGACCTAAGTTAATTGCACATATCAAATGCCAAAACAAGAGCAGACGCTCTAAGTTTCTTTCCAACTCTCAGTGTTGCAGTTGTAAGTGCCATAGAAATGAGTTTATGACATGCTTGTTCAGTTCCTTTCTTACTTCTAGTCTTTCCTTGGAATGTTCCCCATCTTTATATAAATGATTTATTGGTCTCTCCATCCCAACTTCGGCCCAAACTATCAAGATTTGCCTAAAAATGTCTCTCCAAGCCACTTCTTAGAAGCAGGAGATCCATGTCACTACTGCTTCCATTTCCTCTTGGGAGACCCCCAGGATCATCAGGTATTTCCCCAATGCCATAAGAATGGCTGCAACAAGGAAAGTTCTTTGGGTATATGTCCAAAAGCATTACCTGATCTTTTATGTACATTTCTAAATGAGTAATTTGAATCACAGCCCTTAATTTTTCCAGAGGAATTTTCAGCAGAGCATCTAATAATGTTTAAGCTTGGAGGTGTCACTGTGACCCTTCGTAAATTTCCATTTGATTCAAAAAGCCTGCATTATATCTTTGGGTCCATAAAGTGTGATTTCTGTTTTTGCTCTAACTAAGAAATTCACTCATGACAGAGCCCTTTCAAATGTAGTTCATATCTAAAATCATCTATTATAAAATCAAATGAAGGGGTAATTGCAAAAATCAAATTGAAGGGTATTATTACCTTTCAAAATAAATCCATAAATATTTGTTAAGAGGGGAAAAAACAAGAAGAGAAGCAAATCAGATTTATCCCGAGCTGGTGCAGACTGCTGAAGGGCTGGTAAGTTGACCTATCATGTTAATTTTTAAGCAATGAAAGAGAAGCCTTTCTACATAGAAATGCTCCTAAGGAATTTAATGACTTTTGAGAGGAAGAGAATTATTTTGATGTTGTTTGATTTTCAACGAAAGTTACCTTTTGAGGAAAAAATAAAAACAACCTGATGCACTTATTTCTCAGTATACAACAAAAAAATACAGATTATTATAAATTCCCGAAAATCAGGTCCATGTTCTGGATCACACACTATTAAACAAACATCCCCCAATATTGCAGCCTGGCAGTTTTAATTTCATCTCAAAAATGCATCTTGTTTCTTTCAACCCTTGACTGTTTTGACATTTTCTTCGATTAAATTATAAACAAGCATGAAGCCTGATGGTGAGGCTGGAGCCACTAATTTCCCTAATTGTTTGCAGTTGTCTGGCCTGGAGAAGGCCGCCCCTGTTAAGAAGTCAGTGATTACAGGTCTAAAGACTTCCTTTGTGTGTTTACTCAGCAGATAGGGTTCAAACATTCAGATTATTTAAATTATAGATTTAAATTTCACTGGAAGACATAGGCACTGAAAAACATCTCTGGCAGCTCTCACAGAAGATGGAGCCCTCCGGGTACAATTGTGTCCTATAAACATTTCATGTCGTGAAGACTGGCTCGGGGCACCCTGTCCCTCCGCAGACTCCCTAGTTCTTTGGTGCTCAGCAGAAAAGATCAGTTAATTATCAGTTGACCGGTTAGCCATCTATTTATTTTATTAGTAATTATTGCAACAGAGCACTGGAAGAAGTTAGCGTGGGTTGTCCAAAGTCTAAAGCAAGCTCTTCTTTTCTTTTATTTGAAGCTTCAGAACTCTGCATTCCTTGTCTTTCCAGGTTCATAATTAACTGATAATTAGCTGCTTTGCCACAGCACCTTGACTCCTTGGTAGCCATAAAAGCTAGCAATAAATAAGAAGGAAGCACAAAAGCCCCTTGGCTTATCGCAGCATCATCTTATCTTTATTATCAAAGGCTACGCCTTTCAGGCAGGACCCAATCACACAGCCAACTGTTTATCATTCCACCTGTAGGAGCAGATTATTGCTGTTCAATAATACCATTTGCCTCTGAAGTACACCTCATAATCCTTCCTTTCTGATCCCAACCCAGAGCTAGAGAAAAAAAAAAATTACCTCTCCATAGAGAATTACCAGCCTCACGTGTAACCTATGACTACAGATGTCTTCCACAAACCATAAGCCTTTGATATAGTCTATATTATGTAAGAATAATCTGTCAGTCACCACCCTTGTAAACTCAACTGAACACCACCCCCAACCAGATTTACACATACTTTTGTTTGCCTATACTTATGTATCAAATCAATCATTTACATTCTCCATTCAAGCTATTTATCTCCCAGATGTAAATTTCTTAAGAGAATTTCCCTGTTTTTGTAAATGTGAATGTTTTCTGGCCAATCCATTCATTTTGTACAGGGTTAATTAATGGTTTAGGAAGGGGACATGATGAATTTTAATGTATTTAGAATCCAAATGATCAGACATTTTGTATAAACCAGAATTGTTTTTCACAGTAATAGACAATTTCATAAAGTTTGATTCTGAACTACATTTTATTATATTCTAGTTCTCTAAAAACTAGACGTCTACTCTTTGTTTACCAGAATATCTGCAACAAGATCATTTTAAGAATTGTTGATAAGTATTACAGTCATATCCAGTTTCTAAATAGATGTAGGTTTTTGCTTTGTCCCCTATAGAACAGGAAAGACAAATGAAGTTCCCAAACATGCCTGCTCCAGTGTGTTAAAGGGTGTAAATTTAGTAGACTTTTAATATGAGATATTCAAGCATTAAATATACAGAATTTTTTCCTGTAGAGTTTGCATAAATAAATTAATAATGCAAATGAGATAAAGTAATATTTTTTAAGTATGCAGAGTTACTCTAAGTAAGACATTTGGTTGAGGGGAATGGATATTTTACCATAGGCAATACTTCAACACATTATCTGTGCCAGCCAGTGCAGAAGAGAGGAAACAATAATCCCCCTCACGGGATTTTTCTCGTGGGACCAGAAAAATCCCAAGATATAGACCAGCTTTGCTAAACTTTATCAAGTGCTTCCTACATGGAAAATGGTATAGTAGTTCACTGCAGAATAGTCACACTGACTTTTCAGGAAAGCACCACATTTTACAGGTGAAACACACTAAAATAATATTATTGAACCTTAGCTTAAAATAAAATCTAACATAATTGCTTCTCTTCCTTGAACCTGTGTCAGAATTCTCAAGGGAATAGTACTGATATACATCTATTTCACTCTCTCTTGCTAGAAGGTGTAAGCCTCAAGTGATGCATTTATGAAACACAGAAAGCCCTAAAAATATTATCAACTTTCCTCCTTGATTTCACAACCTCTGCTAATGTATGGATATAAGCACATCAAACAATCCAATATAAGTCTAAGCACTAAAGGAAAACAAAACATTGCTTGCAAACTCTTAACAAGCACACAATAACTACATGCCATATTACTTTATTTCCTGCCATATATTTTTCAGTTTCAGTTTGGAGAACATGATCTCCAATATAATAAATGGAGTATTATATACTGTTTATTTTCCCATCGACATCAAACAATCTTTATGCTGAATGTTAGTATGTTCTTTATTACCATTTTTGGAATATTTTGCATTGCAAATGTTCAGGATTTATGCAATTGTTTAAAATAATTTTTAATAACATTCCAGTTTCAGAGAACTCACTACCAGAAGGTAGTAAAGATTTATAAATATATGTAGAACTTCTCCTTAATTGGGACATGGATACTAAGTACCTTCAAGATGTCTGTATTGATTCAATATTTGTTTCTTATAGCTGTCTAGACTACTACAATTTTGACTCCAGAATTTGTATGTAACAACATGCTTTTACAAAAATGCCCCTTCTTTCAATACAGTCAGACCTCACTTTACAATTACGTATTTTTTTCTGTGAAGGCATACATAAATTGTAAATCTCCATGTAGTGAATCACAGATTGCAGTGACTTTTATTTTAAATACAAATATGCATTCTCCCAGAAAAATATCTTCAACCACAAGTCATATAAATGATATTTAAGAATTCTTAAATGATTCAAATGCCTTCTACTTTAATTGAAGCATAGTAAATATTCACTACTTTTCTGATATTATTTGTGCAAAAATTTAAAAATCAAGTGGATATATCTTGTCCACATTATTAAAAACACAGAATGTGTTCAAATCACTCAGTAGCTGCTTCATTTGATAATCACACTGATTTCATATGGTAAGATCTTATGAAGTTTCTCTGCTCCATGTATTTAACAGAATTAACCAGCAAAACCACCTAACAGTAATGTGTCTTTGGGGAAGAGGTAGTCAACTCACGTGTATCTAGACTGCTTCACTCCATTTTCTTTGTACGTAGGAGATTACAAAAGGATACTCATTAAAAATGTCAATAAATTTAATTGGTTCTTACATATAGAAGTAAAATTATTTAAACATGTTTAGGTAACTATGATTGACCTGAATAAATCATTTTTAAATAATTTATTTCACTTTTATAATTCTCTTAAAATGTTGTTTAGTAAATGATAATAGACTATTTGAAATCTCAGTAACTGACTATTAAAATGCCTCACATCAATATTTATTAGGAAGTAGTAACTATAAATAAATACATAATACTTATTAGGCATTATTCTGGTTTTATATGCATTAAAAATTTAATTCTATAACCATTTGAGGTGAGAAATATTATTGCTTCCATTTTATAGGTGAGAAAACTGAGAGTAAGAGGTTAAGTAATTTGCCCAATTTCTCATATGTAGTGAATGACAGAGCCAAGATTTTAACCCAAGCAGTTTGTTTCCAGAATCAATCATCTTAATCACTGCATAAACCTGTGAAGAGACAAAGTGGTACAGAATAAATTCTTTAATAAGCAAGAAGGGGGGCATATTTCTTACAACATTTAATGGCCTTAATTGTTGGTAGGTATTGACTCATTCCACAAAAGAAGGTGGGACACTTACATTCACTCCGATGTAAGCCAATGTCATTTTTATTTGAAACAATAAATACACTTTGGTCCTCAAATAAAAATACTGGAAAAGACCATCTTGCTTTGCTATTTATAAAACTAGTAGAGTATCAATCTCTCATTCTACCCTCAACCTCTAATGTACATATGCTTTATAGACATGTGCATAAACACACACACACACACACACACACAGACACACTTCTGAGATGCAAGATCTATCTAAGTAGTTTGGTATTTCTGGAGAGAGCAGGCAGCTGACAAGAGAAATATTCCTACTCTCTAATATTCTCTCCATCTCTGTTTTCCTCATAAAGACCATATGCAGGAGATGTAATCTTCAGTAATTAACTGATGTTGTGGCTTTGTGAGGCTTTGGAGGCAAAGAGACTGGGGTGAGAATCCAGATCTTCCACTTATTTACTGGGTTACCTTAAGCAATTTAATTGCTCTGAGCTTTAGATACCTTTTCTAAAAGATGAAAATGATAATACCAACCTCATAAAGTTATCATATATAGGCCTGCCCGGGACAAGAATACAAATAGAGGTCCACATACCATATGTCTAAATATTTAAAAATTATAAATTAAGCCAACAAACTGTTAAATAAAACATGTTCTATC
Organism: Homo sapiens; assembly: GCF_000001405.40. NCBI lineage: Eukaryota > Metazoa > Chordata > Mammalia > Primates > Hominidae > Homo > Homo sapiens. Next base: position 198,972,452 of record NC_000002.12, read on the forward strand.
TTCCTACCTTGACAAATATACCTTCATAATGACAAAATCAAAAACAATACATGTAAAGCTATGATTTTTATGTGACCAAAAGATGGCAAATGTCAAAGACTAGGCCCTCTGTTGATGGGCCAGCAATTTGGGGATAAATAATAATATAAAAACTTATGTAATGCAAATTATTATATATTTATATCATAAGACTTATTTTCAGCAAAATAATCGTCATTTTAAAAGTTTGATTTTGTTTTTCTTTTGAAGGAGAGGTTTTTGTTTTTGAAGTCCAAGATGGCAGACTAGAGGCATTGTTAGCATGCCTCTTCCACTTGGAAAGACAAAATAGTGTGTAGAGATTCACACTGTGAACTTTTTTTCCAAGAGGCAAGACAGGAACTTAGAAAAACTGAAAGAAATGCAGACCCTTTGAAATAAGCAGCAGGCAGAAGCCTACACTGTGAACCAGACAGAAAACTGTGAGTCTCCGCAGTGTGAGAGGGGGAGAGATTGCCTGCTGCCATAACACACACTCCCACAGGGTAGCTGGGCAATGCAAGCCATGGGGGAAAGCCTTAACCCTACCCAGCACTGGAGCTGATTTAGGGAGCACTGGGGAATATATGAGAAAGAGTGGCATCGGGTGGTGCTTTGCATGCACTCCCAGACTCCAGCAAGGATAGAGGGGAGCCATTCTTGTTTCTACCTCACAGTGGACCTTGCAGAAGTCTGCAAGCTAACTCAGATGTGGTCACAGGCTAAGAGAAGCTCCCAACTGAGATTTGTGATACGAACTTGAGTGGGGATGAACCCCATTAACCAGAACTGAGAAGAGGGAAATGTGCAAGGCCACAAGCACAAGAGTTGGACATTCCCCCATTTCAGGCAGATCAGGAGGGGTGTGGCCTGAAAGCTGTGGTTTCTATCTCTATCAGGAAGGCTTCTGGCCTGGGGCAGTTCTGATTTCTGAGCACAGGCTGCCTGGTACACAGCTGGCTGCTGCTAGCAGAATACTGTGGGTGTAAGTAAGACCAATCCTGCCAAGCGCATGAGAGCTGAGTGGAGCTTACTGCTGCCGGCTACCCTCAGTTTCCCATGCAGATTCTGTTGTACAGCAGAGGTAGCTACACTCATCCCTGGAACATTAACCCAGTGGCCAGGGAATTACCCTCTGATACCCATTGAAGCTGTTCCTTGTGCCCACACATGGGGATCCAAAGAGTAAAGTTGCCTGACTCAACCCCCTTCCAGCTTTGCTATTCCACCCTCCCTAGTAGCATAACACAACAGACAGGGATGTTTGGGGGCTCCATGGCCCCACCCATTGCCTGAGACTCCAGGGTATCTCCCCTGGGTAACATAAGGCGAGCCCAAATTCTACCACCTCAGTTAGTGGTCTTTTGCAAACACCACCTACTCCTAGCGGAAGGCCAACTGGCACAGCCCATTACAACATCTGCAGGCACAATAACACAGTGCTCAGGAAGGAGAAAACCTTTGCACAGTTTCATCTATCATCATTTCTTGCATCACCCTGGCTCACCAGGTCTTTAGTTTGTCTGTGTGCCCAGTATATCACTACTGCACCTGGCATTTGAGAAAGTTAACACACTAAGGCTATTTATAGGCTAAGGAAATCTCACATAGTCTATGTCTCTGCCCTGCCACCCCCATCAGAGCTGATGTTGGTGCCTGCTACTGGAAGACTTGAGGATAAGTCACATCACTGGATCCCCTGCAGATATTCCCCAGAACCCACCTAAAGTGTGGCAGCCCCACTGGGCACCTAGACCCAGAGGAGCAGCAGGATTCACAGTAGTATGGCCCTCAGGAGCTGCTACTCCTAGGGGAAGAGAGAGTGCACCCCATGGTGCAAAAGAAACCAGACTGCAGGCCTTGCGTTTATGAACTTTTTACTTGTGTGAAATATCTTTCAGCAGAAGCACAGGTGCAGTGCTGGGCTCAGTGGGAAAGTCTTCAGCTCTACCCCAACAGTCAGGCAGCCCTGCTCATGAAGGGTCTTGGAGAAGAGGACTCCTTCTCCTCTTTGCAATCCCTCTCTACAGGGAAGATCAACATTCCTGCAGATGAAAAGAGGTGCCTATCTGATCTGAATAGCTGGAACACTGGGTTAGGGGTATGACTGGGAAGTAGATCACTTTCCCACTGGTCTGGAAGGAGAGCTGTGGTGGCTTCCTCCATTCCCCCTGAAAAGACTGCAGTGCATTTCACTGACAGTTGACCCAGCTGACTCTGTCAAAGATGGGATCTCCATCTACCACTGGGGCACTGTATTTACCTACCTGCTTTAGCTGAATCTGGTTTTGTGGTCACTTCCTGCTGGCCTGAAGCCTGAACTGTTCAACCCAGTGAAAAAAATACTGGGAAGAAAAATTTTTAGAGGGAACTAGGTAAGCTTCATGAGACCTCTGTCATTCCAGCCCCTAAGAGACAGTGAATTTTGCTCACACACACAGCACATTGCTACTACAACCAGCAACTGAGAAAACCATCACACACAGATTCTATATAACCAACTAATTAATAGACTCTTCTCTAAAAGAACCCAGGGACCAAGCTAGGTAACAATTAACTAAAAACATTAAAGTCACATCCTCAAAAGGAAAAGAAAGAAATTTTTAAAACCCAGTCAAATAAAAAATAAATTCAAAAATAATTAAAAGAAATAGTCTACCCAAATAAAAAGGAGCCAGAAAAAATAATTCTAGCAATATGAGAAAGCAGGGTTCTATAACACCACCAAAAGAGCATACTAAGTCTGCAGTAGTGAATCCACACTAAGACAAAAATCTTTGAAATACAAGATAAAGAATTAAAAAGGTTGATTATTAAGTTACTCAAGGAGATATAAGAGAAAGGTGAAAACAAACATAAAAACTTTTTTAAAATTCAGGATAGAAATGAAAGATTTTCTAAAGAGATAGATACATTAAAGAACAACCAATCAGAACTTCTAGAAATGAAAGACATACTGAGGGAACTACAAAATGCAGTAGAAAGTTCCATCAATAGACTAGACCAAGTAGAAAAAAGAATTTCAGAGCTCAAAGATAAGGTTTCTTGTCTTTGAACCTAATTAATTAACCTAATTAACCTAAACATGCAAAAGTAAGAAAAAAAGAATTAAAAGAAATTAACAAAGTCCCCAAGACAATGGCCAAACCTAAGAGTTATAGGTGTTCATGAAAGAGAGGAAAAAGCAAAAAGTTTGGAAAACCTATTTGAGGAAAACTTTCCTGGCCTTGCTAGAGATTTGGACATCCAAATTCAACAAATCCAAGTAACTCCTGGGAGATTCATTGTAAAAAGGACATCATCAAGGCATACATTCATCAGGCTGTCTAAAATCAATGTGAGGGAAATAATTCTAACACAGTGCCATAAAAGCATTAGGTAGACCATAAAGGAAAACCTATCAGAATAATAGCAGACTTCTCAGCAGAAACCTTACAAACTAGAAGAGATTAGGGTCATATCTTTAGTCTCCTTAAAGAGAACAACTGTCAGCCAAGAATTTTGTATCCAGCAAAACTAAGTTTCATAAATGAAAGAGAAATAGTCTTTCTCAGACAAGCAAATACTGAGGGAATTTGTCAATATGAGACCAGCCCTACAAGAAATGCTAAAGAGGAATTCTAAATCTTGAAACAAAAGGCCAGTACACATCAGTATAGAACCTTCTGAAAGCATAAAATTCACAGGGCTTATAAAACACTAACACAATGAAGAAAACAAAGTCACTAGGTAACAGCCAACACAATAACTGGAAAAGTACCTTACATTTCAATATTAACATTTAATGTAAATGATCTAAATGCTCCACTTAAAATATCCAGATAGGCAGTATGGATAAAAATCACAAACCACATATCTGCTTTCTTCCATAGACACACCTAACACGTAAAGATTCTTATAGACTCAGGGTGAGGGGTTTGAAAAAGATATTTCATGCAAATGAAAACCAAAAGAGAGCAAAAGTAGCTATTCTTATATCAGACAAAACAAACTTTAAAGCAACAACAGTAAAAAAAAATACAAAGAAGGTTATTATATAGAAATAGCAAAGATCAGAGCAGAACTAAATGAAATTGAAACAAAAAATACAAAAGATCAATGAATCCAAAAGCGGTTCTTGAAAAGATAAACAAAATTGATAGACCACTAACTAGATTAACCAAGAATAAAAGAGAAAATATTCAAATAAGCTCAATTAGAAATGGAAATAGAGGCATTACAACTGATACCACAGAAATATAAAAGATCATTTAAGACTATTATGAATACATCTATGCAAACAATCTAGAAAATATAAAGAAAATGGATTAATTCCTGGAAATATACAACCCTCCTAGCTTGAATCATGAAGAAATAGAAATCCTGAACAGACCAATAACAAGCAGTGAGATTGAACCAGTTTTGCTTTCTGTTGCCACAACAAAAACACCCAAGTCCAGAAAGATTCACAGCCAAATTCTACCAGACATTCAAAGAATAATTGGTACCAATTCTACTGAAACTATTACAAAAGATTGAGAAGCAAGGAATCCTCCTTAATTCATTCACAAAGCCAGTATCACCTTGATACCAAAGCAAGGAGAGAACCAAAAAAGAAAACTACAGACCAATATCCCTGATGAATATAGATGCAAAAATCCTCAACAAATTACTAGCAAACTGAACCCAAAAATTCATCCAAAAATAATTCATCATGGCCAAGTGGATTTTACTCCAGGGACAGAGGGATGACTCAACATATACAAGTCAATAAATGTGATTAATCACATAGACAGAATTAAAAACAAAAACCAGATGTGATCATCTCAATAATATAGAAAAAGCATTTGATGAAAATACAGAATCCCTTTATCATAAAAACCTTCAACGAACTCGGAACTGAAGGAACATACCTCAAAATAATAAAAGCTATATGTGACAAACCCACAGCCAATATTATCATACTAATTGGGGAAACGCTGAAAGCATTTATCTTAAGAACTGGAATAAAACAAGGATGCCCACTTTTTTCACTTCAGTTCAACATAGTACTGGAGGTCCTAGCTAGAGCAATTAGGCAAGAGAAAGAAATAAAGGGCATCCAAATTGGAAATAGGAAGTCAAACTTCTCTATTTGGCCAATGACATAATCTTATGCCTATAAAACCCTAACCATTTCTCCAAAAGACTCCTAGATCTTACAAAGGAATTCAGCAAAGTCTCAGGTTACAAAATCAATGTACAGAAACGAGCAGCGCTGCTATTACACCAACAATGATCAAGCTGAGAATCAAATCAAGCACTCCAATCATTTCACAATAGGTACAAAAAATAAAATACCTAGGTATATACTTAACCAAGGAGGTGAAAGATCTCCACAAGGAGAAATAAAAACACTTCTGAAAGCAATCATAGATTACATGAAAAAATATAATACGTCTCATGCTGATGGATAGAAAGAATCAATATTGTGAAAATGACCATACTGCCCAGAGCAACCTGTAACTTAAATGCAATTTCTATCAAAATACCAAGATCATTTTTCACTGAACTAGAAAAAACAATCCTACAATTTATATGGATCCAAAAAAGAGCCTGAATAGCCAAATAAATCCTAAGCAAAAAGAATAAATGTGGAAACTTTACATTACCCAACTTCGAATTATGCTACAAGACTGTAGTAACCACAACACTGTGGTACTAATATAAAAGTGGATAGATAGACCAATGGAACAGAATAGAGAACCCAGAAATAAAGCCAAATACAACCAACTGATCTTGGACAAAGCATATAAAAACATAATTTGGGCAAAGGACACCCTATTCAATAAATGGTGCTGGGAAAATTGGATAGCCAAATGTAGAAGAATGAAACTGGCGCCCTATCTCTCACTATATACAAAAATTAACTGAAGATGGATTAAAGATTTAAATATAAGACCTGATGCCATAAAAACTCTAGAAGAAAACCAAAGAAAAACTCTTCTGAACATTGGTTTAGGCAAATAATTTATGACTAAAACCCCAAAAGCAAATGCAACAAAAACAAAAATAAATAAATGGGACCTAACTAAAGTAAAAGGCTTTGCACAGCAAAAGAAATAATCATTACAGTAAAGAGACAACTTACAGAATGGGATAAGTATTTGTAAATTATGCCTCTGACAAAAGACTAATATCCAGAATCTATAAGGGACTCAAACAAATCATCAAGAATAAAACAAAAAATCTCCATAAAAAGGGGGCAAAGGGCAAGAATATATATTTCTCAAAAGAAGACATACAAATGGCCATCAAACGTATGAAAAAATGTTCAACATCATTAATCATCAGGGAAATGCAAATTAAAACTACAGTGAGACACCACTGTACCCCAGCCAGAATGTCAACTATTAAAAAGTCAAAAAACAATAGATGTTGGTATGGATGTGATAAAAAAGAAACACTTACACACTGATGGTGGGAATGAAAGTTAGTACACCGTCTATGTAAAATGGTATGGAGATTTCTCAAAGAAGTGAAAGTAGATCTACTATTCAATTCAGCAGTCCCACTATTGGGTATCTATGCAAATGGGAAGAAGTCATTATATCAAAAGACATCTGTATGCATATGTTTATCACAGCACAAATCACAATTGCAAAGACATGGAATCAACCTAAGTACCCATCAACCAATGAGTGGATAAAGAAAATGTGGTATATATGTATATACCTATACACCATGGAATTCTATTCAGCCATAACAAAGAATGAAATAATATCTTTAGCAGCAACTTGGATGGAACTGAAGGCCATTATTCTAAGTGAAATAACTCAGAAACCAAAAATGAAAATTACATGTTCTCACTTACAAATGGTTGCTAAGCTGTGGTACACAAAGGCATACAGAGTGGTGTAAAGGACAATGGAGACTCAGAAGAGAGGATAGTAGAAGGGAAGATGAGGGATGAAAAACTATCTGCTGGGTAGAAAGTACACTACTCAGATGATGGGTGCACTAAAATCCTAGACTTTGCCACTATAAAATTCATCTGTGTAACCAAAAACCACTTGTACCCCTAAAGCTATTAAAATTTTTAAAAAATTAAAGAACATATAAAAACAAAATAAAAGGTCAAGACAATTACATAATTTACTTTCTATTGACCATAATGATCTAAGGAATTTTTTAAATGACATATAATTAAATTCAAAGTATGTACAAAATCTAAATATATTTTATTAGACTGTATACATTAAAATATAAAAATAAGAAATAAAAATGACTTTTCACCTTTTTAATAGTTGTTTCCTTCTAACATTTTCTTACCAATTAAAATTGATACTAACAGGTACCAAACTTATACATTACAATTATTTCATAGAAATGAATATTTTTATTTTAAAAAATATAATAATTATTAAATAATTTTAATAAACCTATTCCAAAATTCTAATTTTTAGTCTATCTACTTGCCAATAAAAAGAATATTATATTTCATTATGTTACAGCTAGAGAATAAAGGTATATATGCACACAAAATTAATAGTGATGTACATTGTTTTTATGGAAAAGTGTTGCCAAATGCAAGGGCTACATCAATCTGTGCCAGTTGATGAGTACTGCTGAAACCACTAATCAGAACACAAAAAGAAAAAGATGAAGGTCAATACTTCTGGGGAACAATGTTTATTATGCAAAAATCTTTGCACTCATGATCTCTGTGGGGAAATGTTTTATTAATTTTTTACATATTGACTCAAAATCAGTGTCTTTTCTCTTATCTGAATCTTTCTACCACTTAAATTCTTCCCATACTCTAAACCATGGCTCATCTCTGAGGTCAATAGCAGCACAATCAACACATCCTCCCAGCACTGGAAGCACCATCATTCAAATCAGAGACACAGAGAGGATATGTGGAAAAACATTGCTCTAGAGTTGTGAGAGCAGATGTTCAAAGCTAAAGGCCCATGCAGTGTCCTCGATGAGTGCCTGTCCTTGATCTAATCTAACAGTAAATCTAACATCAAAGGTGCCAAAGAATATAACAAAGGTATTATCTGTTTTGTTTTTGTTTTGTTTTTATACTTGTGATGTTCAGGGATCTCTAAAATACAGGACTCAAACCTCAGGCTCCTTTTGCCCAAGTCTAAGGAAAGTCCCAGTTATATGGATTAAATATGGTATAGCATATCAGGCATGAAGTAAGGGTTTGCTAAATGCTACCCATTATGACAATGAGTTTTCTCAAGTTTAGAGTATCTACTCAAACTGACTACAGTATATTGTACAATATTTTGTGGAATTTAGTCCCCAATTGTATTTTAAATATCTATTATAGAATTAAGAAATCCTACTATTTCTGTAGTGATAGTGATTAATTTTGAGATTTCCAGTCAGTTGTTTAACTAACATTCACTAGGTACATACTATGTGCAAGGCACTGGATTAGGGATTCCAGTGATATAAAACTGTGGCCCCTGAACTAAAGACATTTATAGTCCATAGCAGTGACTTCTAGCCAAGGATGATTTGGGCCCCCAGGGGACATTTGGCAAAGTCCAAAGATATTTTGTGTTGTAACATTTGGGAAGGGGTTCGAGGATGCTACTGGCATCTAGTAGGTAGAGGCCAGGGATTCTGCTAGACAGCCTACAATATATAGGATAGACTCCACTGCACATAATTATCCAGCCCAAAATGTCAGTGATAACAAGAATGATAAATATTGATCTAATGTAAGAGACAAGTTATGTGGTAAGATCTAGGAGATGTCTATACAATGTGCATCTAAAGTAAAAAAAAAAGGTAGCTCTTGATTTATCAGTGGGAAGCTATTTAGTCTTCAATTCACCTGCACTACTTGGACCTGTGTCAGAAGACTACATGTCTGAAGCAAGAAAGAGTTCAAAGTATCATTCAGTCCATTTGAATAATTGCATCAGTAGATGTGGTTGGTGAAATAATGGTCACCCAGAGGTAACTATCACTATGTCCTAAACTCTAGAACCTACAAATATTTATTTTACATGGCACAAGTGAATTAAGAGTGCAGGTAGAACTAAGATTGTTAATCAAAGATAGAACCAACCAATATATCATTTTACGTGGCACAGAGGAATTAAGATTACAGATAGAATTGAGATTACTAACCAAATAAAGGTACAACATACCAGAATGTGTGGAACACAGCTGAGGCAATACTAAGAGGAAATTTATAGCACTAATGCCCACATCAAAGAGAAAGATCTCAATTTAACAACCTAACATCACAACTAAAGAATTAGAAAATGAAAACCTAGCCAATCCCAAAGCCAGCCGAAGAATGACATGGTTTGCCTCTGTGTCCCCACCCAAATGTCATATTGAATTGTAATCCCCACATGTCAAGAGAGGATCCTGGTGGGAGGTTATTGGATCATGGGAGCAGTTTCCTCGATGTTGTTCTCATGATAGTGAGTGAGTTCTCACAAGACCTGATGCTTTACAAGTGTGTGGCAGTTTCCCCCATGCTCGCTCACTCTCCTGCCACCATGTGAAGAAGGTCCTTGCTTTCCCCTCATTGTCTGCCATGATTGTAAATTTTCTGAGGCTTCCCCAGCCATACAGAACTGTGAATCAATTAAATATTTTTTCTTCATAAATTACCAAGTCTTGGATATTAATATTTCTTTATAGCAGTGTGAAAACAGACTAATACAAAAAAAAAATCAGAGCTGAGCTGAAGAAGATGGATGCACACAAAAAATTCAAAAATTTCCTGAGGCTTCCCTGGCCATACAGAACTGTGAATCAATTAAACGTTTTATCTTCATAAATTACCCAGTCTCTAGTATTAATAGGTCTTTACAGTAGTGTGAAAACAGACTAACACAAAACAATAAAAATCAGAGCTGAACTGAAGAAGATGGACACACAAACAAAAGATCAATAAATCCAGACTTTTTTTGAAAAAAAATTAATAAGATAGGCTACTAGCTAGACTAATAAAGAAGAAAAGAGAGGAGATCCAAATAAATACAACTAGAAACAGCAAAAGGGATGTTACCACTGACCCCACATAAATAAAAATAACAATCAGAGACTACTATGAACAACTCTAGGCACACAAACTACAAAACCTAGAAGATATGGATAAATTATTAGACACATGCACCCTCCCAAGACTGAACCAGGAAGAAATGGATTCCCTGAAGAGACCAATAATGAACTTTGAAATTGAATCAGTAATAAATAACCTACCAACTAAAAAAAGCCCAGGACCAGATGGATTTATAGCTAAATTCTACCAGATGTGCAAAGAAAAGCTGGTATGATTCCTACTGAAACTATTCCAAAAAATTCACTTCGACTCATTCTGTAAGGCTAGCATCATCCTGATACCAAAACCTGGCAATGACATAATAACAACAACAAAAGTTTCAGGTCAACATCCTTGATGAACATTGATGCAAAAATCCTCAACAAATACTGGCAAACCAAGTCCAGTAGCACATCAAAAACTAATTCCCCATGATCAAGTAGTTTTTATCCCTGGGAGGCAAGGTCGGTTCAACATACACAAATCAATAAATGTGATTTATCACATAAATGGAACTAAAGACAAAAACCACATGATTATCTCAACAGATGCAGAAAAGGCTTTTGTTAAAAGTCAACATCTCTTCATGTTAAATAGTGATAGTTAAAAACTATCAGTAAACTAGGTATTAAACAAACATATCTCAAAATAATAAGAACCATCTATGGCAAACCCATAGCCAACATCATACTGAATGGGAAAAAGCTAGAAGCATTCCTCTTGAAAACCAGCACAAGACAGGAAGCCCTCTTCACCACTCCTATTCAACATAGTATTGGAAGTCCAGACCACAGAAATCAGGCAAGAGAAAGAAATAAAGGTCATCCAAAGAGGAAGAGAGGAAGTCAAACTATCCCTGTTTGCAGATGACATGATTCTACATATAGAAAACCCCATAGTCTCAGCCCAAAAGTTCCTTCAGCTGATAAACTTCAGCAAAGTTTTAGGATACAAAATTAATGTGCAGAAATCACTAGCATTCTTATTTGGCAACAATAGCCAAGCCAAGAGCCAAATCAAGAATGCAATCTCATTCATAATTGCCACACACAAAAAATTAAAATACCTAGTAATACAGCTAACTATGGAGATAAAAGATCTCTACAAGGAGAATTACAAGACACTGCTCACAGAAATCAGAGATGACACAAACAAATGGAAAAACAATCTATGCTCATGGATACAAAGAATGAATATCATTAAAATTGTTATACTGCCCAAAGCAACTTACTGATTTAAGGCAATTCCTATCAAACTACCAATGACATTCTTCACAGAACTAAAAAAAAAAAAACAATTTTAAAATTCATAAGGAACAAAAAAAGAGCCTGAATAGCCAAGGCATTCCTAAGCAAAAAGAACAAAGCTAGAGGTGTCACATTACTTGATTTCAAACTATACTACAGAGCTACAGTAACCAAAACAGAATGGTACTGGTACAAAAACAGAAAATAGATCAATGGAACAGAATAGAGAGCCCCAAAATAAGACCACACACCTACAACCATCTGATCTTTGACGAATCTGACAAAAACAAGCAATAGGGAAAGGACACCCTATTTAATAAATGGTGCTGGGATAATTGGCTAGCCATATGCAGAAAATTTAAACCGGACCCCTTCCTTACACCATATACAAAAATTAACTCAAGATGGATTAAAGACTTAAGTGCAAAACTCAAAACTATAAAAATCCTGGAAGACAACCTAGGCGATACCATTCAGAACATAGGCACAGTCAAAGATTTCATGATGGAGATGCCAAAAGCAGTTGTAATAAAAGAAAAAATTGACTAATGGGATCTAATTAAACTAAAGAGCTTCTGCACGGCAAAAGAAACTATTAACAGAGTAAACAACTTACAGAATGGGAGAAAATTTTGTAAACTATGCATCTGACCAAGATCTAATATCAAGCATCTCTAAGGAACTGTATTAGCCTGTTCTCACACTGCTATAAAGAACTACCTAAGACTGTGCAATTTATGAAGAAAAGAGGTTTAATTGACTCATAGTTCTGTAGGCAATACAGAAAGCCTGGCTAGGAGGCCTCAGAAAACTTACAATCATGGTGTAAGGTGAAGAAAAAGCAAGCACATTTTATCATGGTGGAGAGAGAGAGCAAGAGAGAAGGGGGGAGTGCCACACATTTCAAACAACCAGATCTTGTGAGAATCCACTCAGTGTCACAAGAACAGCAAGGGGTAAGTCCACCTCCATGATTCAGTCACCTCCTACCAGGCCCCTCCTGCGACGTGTGGGAATTATATTTCGAGATGAGATTTGGGTGGGGACATAAGGCCAAACCATATCATTCCTGCTCCTGACCTCTCCTAAATCTCATGTCTTTCTCACAATTCAAAGACAATCATACCTTCCCAACAGTTCCCCAAAGTCTTAACTCATTTCAGCATTAACTCAAAAGTCCACAGTCCAAAGTCTCGTCTCAGACAAGGTAAGTGCCTTCCACTGATGAGCCCATAAAATCAAAAACAAGTTAGTTACTTCCAAGATACAATGGGAGTATAGGCATTGGGTAAACATTTCCATTCAAAATGGGAGAAATTGGCCAAAACAAAGGGGCTACAGGCCCCATGCAAGTCTGAAACCCAACAGGGCAATCATGAAATCTTAAAGCTCCAAAATAATCTCCTGTGATTCTATATCTCACATCCAGGCCATGCTGATGCAAGAGGTGGGCTCCCAAGACCATGGGGAGCTCTACCCCTGTGGCTCAGAAGGGTGCAGCCCCTGCATCTGCTTTCACAGACTAGTGTTGAATGCCTGAAGCTTTTCCAGGTCCATGGTGCAAGCTGTTGGTGGATCTACCATTCCAGGGTCTGGAAGATGGTGGCCTTCTATTCACAGCTTCACTAGGCAGTGCCCCAGTGAGGATTCTGTGTGGGAGATCCAACTCACATTGCCCCTCTGCATTGCCCTAGTGAGGTTCTCCATGAGGGCTTCACCCCTGAAGACTTCTGCCTGGACATCCAGGTGTTTTCATACATCCTCTGAAATCTAAGCAGAGGTTCCCAAACCTCAACTATTGCCTTCTGTGTGCCCATAGTTCCAATGCCATGTGGAAGCCACCAAGCCCTAGGGCTTGCACCCTCTGAAGCCACAGACCAAGCTGTACCTTTGCCCCTTTCAGCCACAACTAGAGCTGGAGAGGCTGGGATGCCAAATGCCATGTCCTGAGGCTGCAGAGAGAAGCTGGTCCCTGAGCCAAGCCCAGGAAAGCATTTTGCCCTCCTATGCCTCCAGGCACGTGATGGCAGGGGCTCTCATGAAGATCTCTAAAATGGCCTGGAGATATTTTCCCAATTGTCTTGGCTATTAATATTTGGCTTCTCTTTACATATTCAAATTTCTACAGCCAGCTTAAATTTCAACCCCGAAAATGGGTTTTTCTTTTCTACCACATGGTCAGGCTGGAAATTTTCGAAACTTTTTTGCTCTTCTTCCCTTATAAACATAAGTTCCAGTTTCAAATCATGTCTCTGTGAATGCATATGACTGTACGCTTTCAGAAAAAGCCAGGTTAAATCTTGAATATTTTGCTACTTAGAAGTTTCTTATGCCAGATACTCTAAATCATCCCTCTCAAGTTCAAAGTTCCACAGATCCCTAGGATGGGGCAAAATTCCATGACTGTTTGCTAAAGCACAGCAAGAGTAACCTTTGTTCCAATTCCCAGTAAGTTTCCAATCTCCATCTGAGACCACCTCAGCCTTCATTGTCCATATCACTGTTACCATTTTGGTCAAAACCATTCAACAATTCTCTAGGAAGTTCCAAACTTTCCCACATTTTCCTGTCTTCTGAGCCCTCCAAACTGTTCCAACCTCTGCCCGTTACCCAGTCCCAAAGTTGCTTCCACATTTTCAGATATCTTTACAGCAGTGTCCCACTCCTGATACCGAATTTTTCTGTATTAGTTCATTCTCACGCTGCTATAAAGAACTACATAAGACTGGGTAATTTATGAAGGAAAAACATTTAATTGACTTACAGTTCCATAGGCTATACAGGAAGCATGGCTAGAAGGCCTCATGAAACTAACAATCATGGTGAAAGCTGAAGGGAAAGCAAGCACATCTTGTCATGGTGGGGCAGGAGAGAGAGAGAGAAGGGAGAAGTACCACACACTTTTCAACAACCAGATCTCATGAGAACTCACCTACTATCACGAAAACAGCATGGGAGAATTCTGCTCCCAGGATGCAATCACCTCCCTCTAGGACCCTCCCCTGACATGTGAGGATTACATTTCAGATGAGATTTTGGTGGAGATACAAAGCAAAACCACATGCAGCCAACAATCATGTGAAAAAAAAATCAAAGAAATGCAAATCAAAACCACAATGAGATACTATCTCACACAAGTCAGAATGGCTATTATTAAAAAGTCAAAAAATAACAGACGCAAGTGAGGTTGCAGAGAAAATGGAATGTGTATACATTGTTTATGTGAACACAAATTAGTTCAACCATTGCAGAAAGCAGCATGGTGATTCCTCAAAAACCTAAAGGCGAACTACTACTCAACCCAGTAATGCCATTACGGGGTATATACCCAGAGGAATATAAATTATTCTACCATAAAGACACATGCACACGTATGTTCATTGCAGCACTATTCACATTAGCAAAGACATGGAATCAACCTAAATGCCCATCAGTGGTAGACTAGAGAAAGAAAATGTGGTACATATAACCATGGAATACTACGCAGCCATAAAAAAGAACAAGGTCATGTCCTTGGCAGAAGTCATAATCCTTAGCCATCTAACATAGGAACAGAAAACCAAATACTGCAGGTTCTCACTTACAGGTGTGAGCTAAATGATAAGAACACATGGACACAAAGAGAGGAACAACAGACACTGGGGCCTGCTTGAGGGTCGAGGGTAATAAAAGAGAGAGAATCAGAAAAAATAACTATTGCACACTAGTGACAAATAATGGGTGACAAAATAATCTGTACAACAAACCCTCATGACATAAGTTTATCTATATAACAAACCTACATATGTACCCCTGAACCTAATATAAAAGTTAAAAAAGAAATGCAAGAAATAAAAAAATAAAATAAAATAGAAAGATTTTCCTGGATTGTTTGGGTGTCCAATGTAATCACAAAGATGCTCAAATGTCGAAGAGGAGAACAAGAGTCAATGTCAGAGTGATGCTGTGTGAAAAATATTAGATTGGCCTTTGCTGGCTTTCAGATGGAAGGGGTCATAAGCCAGGAAATTCAAATCCTCTGGAAAGTGGAAAAGGAGAAAAAAAACAAAAAAAGGATTCTTCCCTAAAGCCTCCATAAAGGAACAGAGCTCTGATTTAGTTGAGTGAGGCCCATCTTAGTCTTCTGACCCCAAGAGCTGTAAGATAATACATTTGTGTTCTCCTAAGCCACTAAGTGTGTAGTGATTTATTATAGCAGCCCAAGGAAATGAATGCATTAGGACATATAAAACATTAATAGAATTTGAGAGGACAGAACAACAGCAGCAATACTATTATGTGATATTATTCATTCATTAGATTGGAAATTGTGGGCCATCCTCCTGGTTTCTGCCAAGCTGGGTAATATAGAAACTCTATTCACTGGTGCCATTTGGTAGTAGTGTGGCTAACTGTATATTCCTAGTTTATGTTAGTCCATGAAAAAGAGAATGAAATCATGTGCTTCTTCCATCTCCCTAAATGGAGGAGAAGTATTAGAGTTCCTTACATGTTATTAATCATCGGCATAATCATGAAAAAGTCTCATCACCTATCTGGACATTAGTTTTTTCAGCTATGATTTAGGAAAGTGAACTGGACAGTGAACTTCTCAAAGAAAAGTCCCATCATGGTCATCTCTGTGCCAATCAAAGTAACCAGCAAAAATAAAGTACAAAGTACACAATATTTGTTGAATAAATTAACCATCTGTACTTCCATACTCATCATGTTGTCTCATCCCTACCTCAGTGGAGATGATAACTTAGCATTCTGAAAGAGAGTAAATCTTAGAAATTTAATTCGCTGCTTTGCCACTATTCACTCACAAATCTTCATTATTTCAGTGTCCCTCACTAGGAGCCTAACAATATCACAAGATTTTAGGAAAAGAAATGGAATGACCCATTTTAGTGACATAAGAAATTGCAGACTTTTGCCTAAGAATAAAAGGTCACCTTGTTATGGTATGATTCAACCCCCGGCATGTTTTTTTCAATAAAGACAGAAATATCAGTTAGGTCCTAATGAATAAAAATCAATGGAAAAAATAAAACAAAAGAGAAACACTAAATTTTAGAAGGATGCATTGTGTATGTTTATTCCTATTGTTTTTCTTTATTTTTGTCCCAGTTTGTGATGGTGAGATAAAAACCCCCTCACGAAGGCTTCCTTGATATTCAAATTCCAACTGACCTTCTCTTTGGAGATTCTATATTAAGACCTGAGTACCGAATACTGAACATTTTGAGTCATTTACTACACTCTGTTTTCAAACTGTTCTAAATTCTCTTGATAACAAATTTTAAGCTCCTGATGCAGTTCTCCTGTCTTACATTTCTCACAAATGTCCTACAAAAGTTTTCATAGCTTCAAGCATGTGAAAAATACCTTTTGGTGAAAGTGGATGTTAGCTAAACTATACACAGAGACCTCTCTATATTTTTATCAAATAAATTTAAAGACTTCATTCCAATTCAGGTGAAACAGTAACAAATATCAACAATACAGAGAAAAATTAAGTGACTCTAAATCCATTAGTTGCATTAAAGTAACCAAAACAAATATCAGTGCAAACAAGATGGGGGAAAAAAAGGAAAGAAGGAAAAGAAAAAAAGGGGCAAATTTCTAATTCACATCAAGAGGAAAAGGCTGCTAAAAGCATCCTTCTGCAGGTGAATGTGACAAATTTGGTGTCACTGTGCAGGTCCCACTGCCCTTGGTCTACGCAAATGTCATAGATAAAAGAGCTGGTGGTGGATAATCCTTTAAACAATATAGAAAGGGCATTCAGAAGCACATGCTTTATGTATTAGGCATTATACAGTTGAAGCCTGCTCTTAAGAGATCCCTGAAATTGGAATATAAACATAACCTAGCATGTATACTGAAATAGGTTTTTAAAACACCTTTACAGGCTATGTTCACCAACACTGCCTTTTCTTCACAGCACAAGCCTACATGAACATGGTATCGCTCTTCCAACTTGAATCCAGAATGAATGTTTACTTTACTTTTACTCTAAATCCCAACTGACTGCAGTCATTAACACTCCTGGTCTCTGGACCATGCTAACTTAGTTTTCAGGAAGTAAAGGATGATGATCTTAACTGATTTCACCTCATTCTGGGGTGGTAAGTAGGATATCAAATATATTAAATCTCTGCAATCTTCATTTCTTGAAGATATCACACTTAAATTTGGAAGAATTTTCAAATCTAATAAAATTTTTACACTATGGTTTCTAAATGTTGCCCCCTAAGCCTTTCATTCCTATCCAAAGTAAGAAAGAGAATGCATTTTATATACTCTCAATTCCATCAGAAATAACAACGTGCTTTCCTCTTCATTTCCATTCATTACTAAAAGTCTTCAGAGTACATTTTGTACTCTAGTTGATTTGGTACAGATTTAAAGTTCTTACTAAAATCACTTTGCAAAATTTTTAAGTGGTACAATTTTGCAAAATTCTGCCAAGTTAATAAAACAATGGCAAAATAATCATACTATTGCAATGCAACCAAACCCCATAAAAATAAGTGACCCACTAAGTATCTGGTGTCTGCTTAGTAATGCTTGAGAGCATTTGGGAATTATTGTTTTGTATTGCCCTATATTCTTATCCAGTTTTAACATAGATAGTATACCTGCAACTGACTTGTCTTTGAAAGTAATTACAGAAGGATAATCCGCTGAAATAATTGCTGCCTTGGTTGTCTTTATTGTAAGTAACTCAAAATACTGAAAACAATTTGCCCCTTACCCTCTATCCTAGAAGAATAAGCAAGCTTTTGTTTCCTGTTTTTAAGCTTTCCTGGTCCCAGGTGAATTGCTTTTTCGAAGAATAGGCTCACGGACCAGCGATGCAAACTTCTGAGAATGTGAGAAAATCTAGGGTTCAGGGAAGAAGCAGTTGACCTACTACGGGAAGTAGAAAGGTGGCTCTTTTTTTTTTCAGGGGTAATAGAAAAAATTCATATCTATTAGAGTAAGATATTTATTTCTACTTCAATTTATGTTTAAAATCATCACTTTATTTCTAGGAAACAGTCCACTATTTTCTCTAAGATGGACATTATGTAAGTATTGAAATTCACTGTACTCAAGGGTTCTCTACTTTTAGTTATGATAATAATTAATGGCTCATGTGCTTTCTGAAACAGGTTTACTAACTTTTGTATTATTTACAAGGGAAGATTATTTTCTGAGAAATTGCACTGTCTTTTTGTTAGCTAACATTGATTTTGTTGTTGTTGAGACACAGTCTCAATCTGTCACCCAGGCTGGAGTACACTGGCATGATCTCAACTCACTGCACTCTCTGCCTCCTGGGTTCAAGCAATTCTTGGGCCTCAGCCTCCCAAGTAGCTGGGAATACAGGTATGTGCCACCACACTTGGTTAATTTTTTGTATTTTTAGCAGAGATGGGGTTTCACTGTGTTGACCAGGCTGGTTTCAAACTCCATAACTCAAGTGATCCACCCACTTTGGCCTCCCAAAGTGCTGGGATTTATAGATGTAAGCCACCGCACCCGGCCTGTTAGTTAACATTTTAATAGGATATCCAGAGACAGTAGTCTTCTCAGGATCTCCATCCACAATATAATCGCCCTGGTTTTCTGCCTTAGATGAGTATTCAAAAACATATGAACGTGAATGAAACATGTTCAGATTTGTAGAAATCTCTTACATAGTTGATTTGGTACAGTTTTAAAGTTCTTACTAAAATCACTTATAAGAAAAATGATCCTTCCAACAGGTATATTTCCTAGAGTAAGACAATATTCCCTAAAACAAAATGATACGTGAGAGCCTATGGTCAAAAATAAAATATTTACTTGAAAAGCTGTACATTAGTATTAATCATCTACCTCTTGGGCGAAGCATGTCATTCAGGAAGAATTTCTCAGGGGTGTTGAGAAATGCTCTTTCACAAGTATTTACACAATAACTGTCTTTTGTGTTATCCTCTTAATTTTTCCTCTAATGTTTTCTTATTTCCAAATAATGACTAATTATTGCCCTTCATTACCAATTGTGAACTGGATTAATTTAATAAAACAGCCATCTGAATCCATTTTTACAAATAACTATATTATCTTAATTATTTCAAGAAAGAAGTTCTAATTTCTCTTTTATTTCTCAATTATCTAAACTGCATCAGTAAAGGCTGGCCTTTGCTAAAAATAATAGATTCAAATATACAGTTAAGAAATTTTTCTCAACAAAGGCTCTTTTTCAGATCTGAGGAAGCTTCTAGTTGAAAGCCAAAAACCATATCAGTAAAACCAAAGTAATATGGCATTACTGTCCTTCCCAAGTGGATCTAATTTATAAGTATATATGGTTTTCCTCATAGCTCTCAAACATTTTAGACAAAATTCATACCATAAATTTTCACCAAAAATAAAAGAAGGCACATGTTGGTTTATTATATTTCCTCAAACTACAATGTGTGTGTTTTAAATGTTGTACTCTGTTTTTAGCTTGACTAAAATATTTAAATTGAGCATAGTATCTGAACTCCTCATATAACTTTATCAACTCAACACAAGTTTCATAAATATGTTTTCAAACAGCATATTATTTTTAATGAAGAAATTTTAACATCAAGAATGCCAAAAAAAGTTACATATTCACACCATACGTTTTCCATGTTTCCACTCCACCCCAAAGTGCATTTATGAAGTACACATTTTGAGAATTGCACAGTGCTAAGTGTTTAGAGGTTTTCAGTAATTCTAGGAAAGCATGTCCCTAACCTCACTGGTGTACAGTTTAAATTGTCACCTTATGTATTAATTTAGTGTGTTAATTCACACAAAAGAGATACATGATGCGACGTGGAACCTGGAAATTGTAAGTTCCTCATTGACGTACATAAAATCTCAAACAATATTGAATGAACAAAGAGAAATTCAGTCACTTGATAATTGACATTCAAAAGCTTCATATGAGGTTGTAATTACATCATTTTTATTTAAAAGATATTCTTCCAGCAATAAACTCCAGTATTCTTTAACCCTACTTCACCCTTTCGAATAAGCAAAGGCTACAAAGAAATATAAAGAACCTATTTATTGCTAAATATTACTTGGGAACATTCTATTTAGCAAAAGAAATCCATTATATTTGTGCTTTGTATCCAAGACTACTTACTTGAATCCTCTTTGCATGGAGAAGTGAACAGCACTTGCTATCTTTTAGTTTATCACTGTAGAATAAATAATAGGAGTTTATCATTACCTGATGTTGTTAGCCTTTACCCACTCTCCCTTCAGTTATAGCTATTATCAGCAGAAGAGTGGGTGGTGGAGAGAAGGGGAATCAGATTTCCAATGACATTTATGCTCTGAAAAGAAAAATATTAATACAAACAGCCCTTAACTATAGTGTATATTCAGAAAACTCTTTAATGTCTTTATTTTCTGGAGGGCTTTCTCCCTGCCTTCAAGAGGACGATGAGGGACCATTTTCTATGTGATATGGCATTATGAAGCAAAGAGAGAGAGAGAGAGAGAGAGAGAGAGAGAGAGAGAGAGAAACTTTGGGTATTCCTATCTACTCTTGGTGTTCCTAACAAATAAATAGCTTTAAATATATCCCAATTTAATAGCCAAATCCTTCTGGCACTAAAAAGATAAAAAGTAAGAAATCACCTACCACTTTAATCAACTCAGTATTAAGAATTGGCAAGGTTACAAAACCACTCAGCTTTATTTATAAGGCCTGAAGTACATAAACGTGAAAATATAATGATAATTCCATCTTTCACCCTTAAATCATACATTTCATATAGAGGCATTCAGATTGGCCTTTATTAAATACAGCTTTTAAAAAAAGTTTCAATAGAAAATAGCTTCCAAGAAGAGAACTATCCTATAATTTCATTGTGATGTTGAAGACTCTACGTCACACTGGTCATATGGAGGAATAATAAGAATAGAAAATATTTTTTCTGAATCTATGCCCATAAAATTGTTATAGCATTCATTTTTGCTGTATTGATTTACAGTAGGCTATTAAGGTTTTTGGAGTGAGTTTTCATTTATGATATTGGAATCTCATGGAGTAGAAAAGTAGATATTATAATCAAATAGATACCAGAATTTAGGGATCTAGGAGATAGTTGGAAAATCTACAGTTCATAGAAGACAAACAGGAAAAAGAAAGACTAGTAGTAATCAAACAGGGAAAAAATATTAGGAATAGCCATAAGGAATACAATCACAGGGGATAATATTTGAAAAAAGTTACCAAACGTAAGTTAAAGTAGTCAGGAACCAGGAATCTAGAATAAATAGATACAAGACATTACAAGATGTATGTGATTGATCTGAAATCATAGGAGAGTTCTAATGACCCAGAGTCATTTTCCATGCTTTCTCTTCCTATACCATGACTCTGCCAGTTTCAACATCTTGGATGACATTTCCATTCTAGCCAGCCAGATGAGGAAAAGAACACGGAGGATTATGCATAATGGGTTAAAATGGTGCACATTACTTTCATCCACATTCCATTGTTCAGAATATAGTCGCATGGTCCCATCTAACTAGAAGGAAATCTGGGAAATGTCTAATTCTAAGCCCAAATTGGAGAGGATATAGGTCTTGGGTTAAACACAAAGCAGCTTCTTCTACAGGGCTGTATTAAGAACAGCTAACCTAGTCACATCTTTCCTCTACTCATTACCAAACAGACTGAATGTTTTACTTGTGGATATAATCTAATAAATGGCCTCTAAAAATAAACCATTTGCCTGAATAGGAATAATGCCCTAATAACATAAGAGCACATGGAGGCAAATCTTCCACAAGAGATTTTGATGGGAAGGACAAAAAGGAAAACCTGCTCTCCCCAAAGAGAAATACTCTGAATGGAGTTGAGCTTATCTTATCAGCAGACAAGGAAAAAAAAAATAAAGGCGTGCACAGCTTTTCCTATTGACATGTTCTAAGCACTTATATGACTGTAGGAAAACTCTTACCAATTCAGAGGAATGGGAAAAAGAAAGGAAGGGAAGGGGAGGGGAGGGGAGGGGAGGGGAGGGGAGGGGAGGGGAGGGGAGGGGAGGGAAGAAAGGAAGGAAGGAAAGAAGGAAGGAAGGAAAGAAGGAAGGTAGGAAGGAATTGGAGAAGGATGCCTGAATCCCTCAAATAGCTTAGGAGATTTTCTTCCTTGTGAGTATAGGTGGAAATTAAAATTTGAAGATGAAAATGCCTAAAACTCAATTTTCAAACTTCTTTACATCTAAGACGTAGACACATGATACAGGCAAATAATAATTAGACTCTCCCATCCTGAACTTTGAATTGGAAACCAGTAATACTAAAGCTTGGCTAAGATAATGCTCTAGGGAAGAAGTGGTGGTTGCAACATGATCAAGGTTTCTGGCAGCATGGCAGTAGTGAAAACAGTGGCATCTAGCACCCTGTGACAGAAGAAAGGTAGACCAGTTCTTAGATAACCAGTCACCATGAGTTATTTTATGTTTTCCCTGAATATGATGTCTCTGAAATTAATTCTCCTTCTCTTCTAGTGCTTACATAAGCCATCTGATACCTTTTTAATAAATTTCTTTTTAGCATTTTTCAGCTAGAGTCCATTCCTGTGTTGTGGTCTATGTGGTTGGTAAATGGAAATCTAAGACTGGTTATCTAGCCAAATTGGGAGAGAAGACAATGAAATTCAGTAGTATTAATGGAGGAGACTCTGGTAACAAGTGGCATGTAATGATAACATTTTTATTAAATTATCATCTATGCAAACCTCTGGAGGGAACAAGACTCACTATTATAGAATATCTTATATAGCCTAAAAAATTAATGGCTGTGAAATAGGGTGGTTTCTCATAGTACTGAATAGCATGAAATATAACATTAGAGTGACAGTCTCAAAGTTTTAAATCATAATCTTAAAGCACAAACTGAAACGTGGGACTTTCCGTGCTTGAAAATAATCTCTTCTCTGCTGTAGCTAAAAGGTTGAAGCTGAATGTATAAAAATCAAATACAAAATTTGGTCAAATAGACTGCTAAATTAAAAATCATTTCAAGTCAAAGCCTTAACTAATTTCTTATATGAAAGTAAGAACATTGGTCAATAAAAATCAGAATTCTAAAAATTACAATGGAGATATAGTGGAGTATGCAGAAGACTCAGAGTAGCCTTCCATACTCAACCTCACTATATTTCCTTTGCCAGAGGAAGCAGCCCCTCCTCCATGTCTATAGAGGCCCTTTTGTCTTACTCAAAAAGAACCTTTGTCCAGGAGAGTTGTTTTGCAAGAGGATGTCAATTCTCTTCATACCTACTTTCACTATCCCTTAATATTTCTAAATTTCTAACTACGGTCAGATCCCAGTATACCTACTAGCCAACTACAAAGTCAAACCTAGAAGAAAAAGGCTTATACATCAAAATAATTATAAAATTTTGCTAATTTATGTCAATAATATAATGAATTTTGGGATAATTAAGGATAAATTAACTTTAGACTGGGCTAAAATTATAATATTTTACACATAAATATATAAGCATATATAAATATAAACATATTCATATCTATAGATAAACATATAAATTATCAACATAAAATACTGATCCCGTGTGTTAGCTAGAGACTCTGGGAGTGTTTATGAATGTCTGCTTAGCTGGTTGACTGAAATAGGGACTCATTGGTGGTCCACACTAAATGAAGTTGAAATGGCAGAAATTTCTTCATATAATATGGAGAAGGCAATCTAAACACACAGACAATAGAAATTTTGGAGTTTCTTTTTCATGTGTGCTTCTCTTATGCATCCCTTAAGGGACACTTAACCAAGTCCCCCAAGGGCCCATTAAGAGTTTGAGAAAGCCATTAGTTAAGGGAGTGCTAATGTCTCTGTGACTGCTCTCATGGGTGAATTCTGAGTGTCAGTGAAGGAAGATACAATAGAAACAGGTCCCATGATTTCAATCGTCTACCAGATTCCAAGTTTGGCAGAGATTTATTAGTGGTACTTAACTGCTTAAAACAAAATGGGCACAATTTCTATAGAAGGCATCAAGGTAGCAGGCAATCAGAATAGTCTGAAACTCCAGAATCCGAGCTTGTAGGTAATTGATTATGGAGTATCAAGTTCTGAATGAGATAAACAACCCATTAACAACCTACCTGATATGTACAAATGAATAAGCTCTAGCTCTGGGACACAGACACATGACTTAAGCTACTACAACAAAAGATCATAATCTCGATTCCAATTTCCATACTTGAGTGAAGTTATACTTTCTCCCAAAATACCTATTGCCATTTACAAGAATAACTATACTTGTAAAGGTAGATACTGAAATATTTAGAGACTACTAAGCACTGGCTCTGAGACAGCAATAATTCTTAGAGATCCAGAACACAAACAAACTCCATGGATGAGAAGGAAACTCATGGGGATTAGTTACAAAATTGTCCCTTTTCAAAATTAGACTAGGCATGTTGGGATTCCAAATCCATACCATGGTTATTTCCCCAGATCATAGTGTCTATTTGGAACATATGTTCCCCAACAACTAGAATAACCCCCACAGTGGATTCGTGACCCACAGATAAAGTAATATGACACATGAAAGAAAGATATGACATTAACTAATTAGTAGAACTCCTCAGAGGTGTGTCTGTCTACCAACATGGTAAATCACAGAAAGTACTACATCACAAAGAAAATCACTAAGCATAGTGCCATCACCAAAGACAAATGATACCAGGTAGGTCATTCTTGATGACATTCACATTTAACTGTCTAGGTTGATAAGTATAGAATAGAGAAGGGGCTTAGAGAGTAGTGGCACATTACATGAAGTACATTCAGATTATAATTCCAGTCTGCTATTTTAGATATGGTTCCATCAACTATTCCAGGTATGATATCTTTTGATATGGCAAATGGCACTCTCTCTCCATCCAAATAAGCAGACAAATCCAGAGGCAATTTGCTTTTCCCTGGTAAGACTGCAAGGACATCTAACGAACTTATTTCAGAATTATCAGCTCTCCCTGCTCTGCCACGATTTAAGCTGTAGATATTATGTTGTTCTCATGATTCCATCAGATATCATACCGGTTCGCTACATTAGTAACATCACAGTTTAGAACCTTAAGATTGCTTAGATGCCTTGGTAAGACCTAGGAAGGCTAGATGGTAGGAAACCATATGGTCTCCCATCTTAGTAACATTTCTGGAATTCCAGAAGTTTCAACATGTTAGTACTTTAGTTTACAGAAAAGTAAACTAGAAGTCACTGCATGTTGAACACTAACCAATGAGATGGGAGACACTGTCTTCTTTAGATTTTGGAGGTCAAAAATACCACATTTGGAAGCGCTGCTATTACCCTGTTACCAGGTGAGCTCCAAGACTGTCAGCCTCAGAGCATCTCAAAAGGAGATAAAATAATCTGTCTAGTGCAGATTGCAGGGAAAGCATTTGGTGCTTATGCACCAGAAGTTACAGTGTTGCTTGAACTCTTGGTAGGCAAAAAGGATGCTCTATGTATACCCTGGTAAACCCTGATAGGAAAATCGCAGCAGAGAATCTCAAGTTTCTAGAGCAGTGGCTAGCAAACTAAAACCTCTACAGGCCAAATCTGCTCTCCTAGCTGTTTTTACAAATAAAGTTTTATGGAAATACAGTAATACTCATTCATTTGCATACTACACATTACTGCTTTTGTGCTACAGCAGCAGAGTTGAGTAGTTATGACGGAGACCACAAAGCCAATATATTTATAATTTGTCTCTTTACAGAAAAAGTTTGCCAATCCCTTTTTAGAGCAAAGCTGTGCACTTTTCATCATATAAATATTTTCCTTTTGAAAAATAGCTCTTGGCTTATAAGGAGTTTGTGGTAGATACTGAATCTTTACTATTGGATGCTGGATGACCATGCAATTATACTGCCCATAATAAAACGGATGTATCTGACCCACCTGGCTATAAAGTCAAGCATGCCTAACAGAATCCTATCATTAAGTAGGACCCATTCCAAGGAGATCCTGAAGGCACACACAAGCTGCATAAGCAGGTAGCTCACACTCCCAGTATGCCTATGACCACTGCACTTCCATCCTTCCTCAAACCACATTTGTGGATTCATGGGGCACTGATGTGAATCAGTCTGCTGAGAGAAAATGATTTGAACATAATTTGCTGATTTTTCTATCAGAAGTAGACTGCTGTGGCATTAAGTCCTAATTAGAGTGGCTCTAAAGGACGGTGGAGAAGGTTTAACCTTAAAATGAACATAATTTCAAGTGGTACATCTCTACTTTGCCTGGAGAAAGACTATGCCTCTGGCTAGAATCTGTATTATTTCAGAGGCAATGGCTAATGACTTGTCAAAAGAGTAGATGTTGAAAATTAATAATATTGGGAGATTGATGAAAAGAAGAATTGAGGAAGAAATACGTGAATGAAACTTTTGGAATCAGCATAAGTCATGTGGATATTTTTACACCATACAAATACTAAAAGACTCTCACTACAAAAGGAAGTTCTTAACAATTACACGAAAATGATAACCTCTCAGTCAGCCTTCTTTCCCAGCTATTCCAGCTCACTACCTTGAGATTATAAATAAAGCAGTTATCGGGAGAGTTTAAAAGCCATGCATAGGTCCAATGACATAGATAACGCCACACAATAGAGATGACCAATTCCACTGTTGAATGCCCAAACCTGAATAGCAGAGACCAAGAAAGAGGTGATATGAAATACATTTTTTGAAAAAAAAAAAAAAGATGAATGGGGAAACAGTAAAACATGGTAAATGTAAAATATAATAGTGGAAATAAAATTCCAGATGATTAAAATATAGTACATGGGAGATTAAGAAGACTAAAGTTCTCAGCTGGAGAGAGAATATAGATAAAAATTAATTCTAAATGTTAATGAAAACATGTAAATTGAAATATTTTGTTAAATTTAAAAATAGGAGTTCTGACACTGCTAATGATAGAGAAGGTAATCCAGACCAACCCACACACCAAGAACCACTAAAAAAGCTTGAACAACCACAAAAGCTAAAGTTATTGGAGGGCTAACAAGACAGGACCAAAATCCAGGAGAAAGAGAAAAGAGACAGACAGGCCAGCATTTTGGCTACTTTTCCCCTGGACGCTTTTGCTGGATATGGGACAGGTGATTGTGAAGTGGAGACAACAAGATGTTAGCAAAACCTTGACAGACTCCTGGGCTGGAGTTCAAGAACCCCTAAAATGGAAGTGCCTAATATAACCCTAAACTTTGGGGTGGAAATCCAAAGGGCTACATCCTTAGGAAAACAGGAAAGACTGAAAGTACACTGTACTTCTCAGGGACAGAAGATTAATTTTGAGGCATCTCAACTATCTAAATAGATGAAAGAGAAATCAAAACACTTCAGTCATTAAAAAATGAGAGAATAGATAAAGCATAGAAAAAACAATAAAGATAAGAAACACAATAAATCTAAAATATTGACTGATAAAACAACAATAGACCGGGTGTGGTGGCGCATGGCTATAATCCCAGCACTTTGGGAGGCCAAGGCAGGTGGATTACCTGAGGGCCAGAGTTCAAGACCCGCCTGACCAACATGGTGAAACCCCCTCTCTACTAAAAAATACCAAAAAATTAGCCAGGTGTGGTGGCGGGTGCCTGTAATCCCAGCTACCTGGGAGGCTGAGGTGGGAGAATCCCTTGAACCCAGGAGGCAGAGGTTGCAGTGAGCTGAGATCACACCACTGCACTCCAGCCTCAGCAACAGAGTGAGACTTCCTCTCAATAGTAATAATAATAAGAAGAAGAAGAAGAAGAAGAAGAAGAAGAAGAAGAAGAAGAATACTATCTTGTGTGTTTGTAAATATAGTCATGTGTCACTTAACAACATGGATACCTTCTGAGAACATATCTGCATAATTGCATAATTAGGTGATTTGTCATTGTGTGAACATCATAAAATGTGCCTACACAAACATAGATGGTGTAGCCTACTACACACCTAGGCTATGTAAAATAGCCTATTGCTTCTAGGCCACAAACCTGTACAGCATGTTATACTATACTGAATACTCTAGACAATTGTAACGCAATGGTAAGTATTTTTGTATCTACACATAACTAAACATAGAAAAGGTATAGTTGAAATGCAGTATAATGTAATCTTAAGGGACCACTGTCGTATGTGTGGTCTGTTGTTGACTGACAGGACACATCATTATGCAGTACATGACTACATAAGGAGAGTTAACAAACCTAACAACAGTAGAATATAACAAACAATAACAGAATGCAAGATTGAAGGAAAAGGTAGTAATTGGCTTTGAAGTGTTCTAAGATACTGATATTGTCTGGGACGACGAGTCTGAGAAACATTTTATACAGCTTTTCAGACAGATTTAGGGGGTTAAGCAACCTATACTCCACTGTGGTGGCCAACTCAGTAGCATAACCTTATTTTTTCACAGTTTGCTCCCATACTTCCTCACTCCTGCTCCCCATGATTATATTTCCTATTAAAGTATTAGCACACTTCTGGTCAGGCTTTGCTTTCTAGGGAACTCAGGCTAAAACAATATTTATAGATTAGGATAGTCAGTATTATAAAGATATCAGTTATCCCCAAAACTGATCTATAATGCAATCCCAGTCATATCTCAGCATGTTTTTGTGGAAATTGATCATTGAAATCTAAAATTTACATTGAAATGAAGAGAACCCA
Organism: Homo sapiens; assembly: GCF_000001405.40. NCBI lineage: Eukaryota > Metazoa > Chordata > Mammalia > Primates > Hominidae > Homo > Homo sapiens. The sequence continues at coordinate 199,001,483 of NC_000002.12, forward strand.
AAATAGGCAGACAAGCCTAAGGAAGAAAAGCAAACAGGAACGACTTACTCTACCAGATATCGAGACTTATTTCTAAAGTTACACTAATATTGGTATTGGTATTTGTGCAATAATAGACACAGAGACAAGCATAACAGAATTGTGTCTTTAAATAGTTCTATGTTTAAAGATAACTGATTTCCAAAAAGGGTGCCATGACAGAGACAGAACAATTGGAGAATAATAATTTTTTTCAAATAAACTGTACTATACCAATTAAATATTTTTATTGAAATGTGTGACACTTGATACCTATTTCAACTATACATCAAAATATTATTCCTGAAACATTGTAATTGAGATGTAAAACATAAAACAGTGGAGCTTCTAGAAGAAACAGAAGAGAATATCTTTATAACTTTTAGGTAGAAAAAGATTTCTTAAATCGCATACAAAAGTATTATTCAAAAAGAAAGATTGTGCATTTTATTATATTAAAATAAAAAGGAAGCTTTTGTTCATCAAAAGATAGCATCAAGAGAGTGAAAATGCAAGCTGGGTGCAGTGGCTCACGCCTGTAATCCCAGCACTTTGGGAGGCCAAGGTGGGTGGATCACTTGAGGTCAGACGTTTGAGACCAGCCCGGCCAACATGGTGAAACTCCTTCTCTACTAAAAATACAAAAATTAGCCAGTTGTGGTGGTGTGTGCCTGTAATGCCAGCTTCTCGGGTGGCTGAGGCACAAGAATCACTTGAACCTTGGAGTCAGACGTTACAATGAGTTGAGGTTATGCTACTACACTCCAGCCTGGGCGACAGAGAGAGATTCTATCTCAAAAAAAGAAAGAAAAGAAAAAAGAAAACGCTAGCCACAAAGCAAGAGAAAAGACTGCAATATAAGTGTATTAGTTTGCTATTGCTTCTTCAACATATTATTACAAGCTTAGGACTTAAAACACCAATTTTATATTACAATTCTGGACATCAAAAGTCCAAAATGAACCTTATAGAGCTGAACTCAACGTATTGGCAGAACTTTGTTTCTTCTGGAAGCTCGAGGGGAGAATCTGTTTCTTACCTTTTCCAGCATCTAGAGGTTACCTATGTCCCTTGGGTGTTGGCCCCACAACATTCTGACGTCTGCTTCTGTCTTAACCTCTCTCTCTCTGACTCTGACCTCTGCTTCTCTTACACTGGGCTCACCCTCATAATCCAGAATAATCTCTCCATCTCAAAATTCTTACCTTAATAGTATCTGCAGAGTTCCTTATGCCATGCAAATTAACATATTCATAGGTCCCAGAAATTAGGATATGGACATCTTCGGGAGAGAAGACATTATTCAGCTCTACCACAACAAACAATAGAAAAAGGACAAACATCCAGAATATATAAAGAACTCCTACAAATGAATATGACATATTCCTAGGCAAAACTATCAATTAATTCCAAATTAACTTATAAATTCAATACAGTTCTTGTTAAACACACATACACGCATGCACACACACACACACACACACACACACACAAACATACACACATGATTCTTTAGTTAGCTTGAAAATGAAATAAACAATAACAGCCAAATGATTTTGGAAAAAGAACAATGTGTGTTTCTTGCCCTAATAATCATTAAAGCAGTGTAATACAAACCCCCAAAATAGAGAAATGGATGAAACTAAATGCAGTCAAGAAATAAACTCACGTAGACATGGGAATTAAATATGTAGTGAAGATAGCATTTCAAATTAGTGGGGAAGAAAGGCACATGATTAATATATTTTGATTACTGAGTATCTTTTTGAATGAAAATAATTATGTTATACACAAAAGTAAATTCAAGATGGCTTAAAAAGATAAATGCTTCTTAAAACTATAAAGTGTTGGATTATAATAAACATATCAATTATTGAGTGCCAAGCAATTTATTTCTAGGACTTCAGTTAATCCATAAAACAACCCTATGAAATGGGACTATTCAGATCTGCATTTTAAGATGAGAAGACTGAGGCACATACAGCTGAGGAATCCTGCTTGAGGTCACAGAGCTAGAAAAGGATATAGCTAGGATTTGATCTCAGACATCATAACACTGAAGCCCAACCTCTTAACGGTTAGTCCACCAACATTAAGGTGAGGAATGCCTTCACAGGAAATAAACAACTCTCAAAGCTTTTAAAGGAAATAATGCTAGATATGATTAAATACATGTTAATAGTTTTTTGCATTTCAAAAAATGTTGTAAACAAAATTAATTAAAAAGCAACAAACTAGAAGAAAGTGTTTGCAAACACTTTCTTCAATAAAAGTTTAAGAAACAGAATATCTGCAAAGACCCTAGTCACTGCGAAAAGAATTTGGGAAAAATAAATAAATAAAAAATATAAGTAGACAATTCAGGGAAGCAGAAGCAGAAATATTGTATATAAAAGGATGATAAACTTCACTGGTTCAGCATCAGATAGTCAAGAAAATGCAAATTAAAACATTGATTTTGTTGTTGTTACCCACATTGAATTGAATAAACTTATTATAGAAAATGATGATATCCAGTGTCATTGAGGGTGTGGAGAAACACATACACTTTTGGGAATGTAATTTAATACCAGTTTTTAGAGTATAATTTAAAAGTACCTACTAGAATGTAAAATATGTATGCATACCCTTCGATTTAAGAATTACATTTCTAGTTATCCATTTTACCAAAAATACCCCTCAGTACATCTAAAATATACAACAAAGATGTTTATTACATTTTAGTTAGAAGTAACCTATTATCAGAATGAAAGAGTTAAATTATTATGAAGCTGAAGTACTATGAAATCCTCTGCAAAAGTTAAAAATGAGATAATCCATAGTTATTGACATAGAAATGTCTCTAAGACATATATTTCTAAGTCATAAAAGAATTTGAAGAATAATATATGTTATAAGCCTATTTATATGTTTTTAAAACTACATGATGTCCGTATACTACATAAAAATTCATAAAATGCTTAGAAATGAGTTAAGAAAGATACACAGCAAATATTTAAAAGTTATTACCTCTGGAGAGGAGAGTTAGATTGACAAAAGATGATGATTGATTGAAGGGGAACTTTTTATACCTTTGAGTAATTAACAACAACAACAAAAACATGTTTTCAGGTATTACTTAAATTTTTAAGTTTATTTTTTGAATTGACAAATACAAATTGTATATATTTGGCTGGGTGCGGTGGCTCACGCCTGTAATCCCAGCACTTTGGGAGGCCAAGGCGAGTGGATCACGAGGTCAGGAGTTGGAGACCAGCCAATATGTTGAA